>NC_000013.11:91101463-91404494 GCF_000001405.40 Homo sapiens
GGTTATACAGCTATTAAATAAGCCGAGAAAACCTCCAAATATTTGAAATTCACATTTTCTCCTCAGCCCTAAGTTCCTCTGAGAATTGTACTCAGTTCAGAAATGCCTGGGAATGCAGCTCCTAATTCCCCCTGAAGAGAAGTTTCTTCCCACTTTGATTTTCTCAGCCACAAACTAATCATTCTTAATTGTTTCCAGCTGTGATTCCTTCTCCCAGAGGTTGCTTCCTGCTGGTACCCAAGTAGTACAGAATCATGCAATTTTGTTAAACTCCAATAAATACATGGGAGTGTTGTAGAACCTAATTCACGATACAAGATTTCAAGCACTGTGACTATCAAGTAAACTTTCACTCAGCTTTGAAAGCTGACCACATAATGAAGACCACTTTTTGTTACAAAGAGGTGACAAGAGAGCAGGCAATTAAAAGTTATATTTTCTACTATTAGGGATTATAATGGAATAATATTTATATGTTTATTTGTAATATGTGTATATATGTATATGTATTTGCGTATGGACATACATGGTAAATTATTTGTAATACATTAAAAGTAGTTTTCACATATATTTGGGATATTTATTTAAATTATTGTTACAGCAACAAGAAATAAAATAATGGTTCAGGACTACATGATGCTGTCTTGAAACAAAACACTCTATAACAACACCAAGAAAGTAAATCAAAATAGGAAATATTGACACATTCAGGTCTTCATAAAATTAAATACTTGGTTCCTCCTTACATGTTTACATTTTAATCTCCAAAACAAATATTTTAAAAAAAGTTTAAATCCTTGTTATCAGAAGAGCATTTAAATTATATCATTGAAAGAATATTAGGATTTTATCTTTTCTAGTTTATTAATGTTACAAACTCAACCATTTTGTTGGTATTAATGAATCAATCCTTTTTAAGTTACTTTTAAACAAAGAAAAAGAAGCAACAAAAAACATGATTAGAAGAAATTAAGTACATGTGAAGTGATTTAAAACGTGAACATAGGCTTTCTTATTAAAACCAGTGAATCTGAAGTTTCAGTTAATGAACCACCATTCATGGCTATTAGCTTCACTAATAAACTTTGTTACTGGGGAGAAAACTGAGGATAATAAAGAGAGCATTTCAAAGCTTGAGAAGAGGTTGTCATTGACAGAAAACGTGCAAGTTCAAAATGCCTAAGAAAGTTTGCAAAAAGACATTAAGAAAAGCACAAAAATAATTGTTCTTCTGCACCTGCAGCCTTAATGAACTCATTGGCTATTTCAACATACTACAGTTTATTTATGCTCCAAATAATACTTACATAGCATCAATGTGCTGAAGGAAGATTAAGAGGCCAAGCTGTGTTGGTTATAGAGTTTTACCCTAAATAACAATAAAAAACAAAAAAAGTTAAAATATTTACACATTTTAGGGTAATATGGAGAATTTCTTAGTGTTTTTTTTATTTCTGAAACTAATTTTATAAATAATAATTCAAGGTGTGCCATATTTACACTAAAATTCATGCTATGAAAACACAATGTTCAGACAGAAATAAAATTTAGAAAGACTAAACTGAGAGAGGATTGAGTAGTTCATGCCATACTAATGCCTCCACAAAAAGCAAGTAGGAAAGATAGACAAAATATAATAATCACTTATTTAAAACATCGGATTTCTGTGGAAGTAACAAAAACTAAAAACTAAAAACTAACATATTAGACATGGGGAGACTGTGGAGAAATGAGCTGGTGATCTGCAACCACTAGGGCATATGTCAGGCTGGAGCATCAGGAAGAGGGAAAGAATGTGGTTTGGTCTAGGCAGAAGGCCGCTATGTGGAGAGCAAAACCAGCGGAGTGTTCAGTGGTTGTACAAGCTGGAAAAACAAGACTGGAAAGTTAAGTGGCCTCCAACATAGCATGTTATCCCCAAAACTGGGTAGGAAAGAGACAGAAGATATAATCCAAAAACCTTGATAAAGTAAAGCAGCCAAAGAAGATAAATACAGGGGAAATAAACCTATAAAAAGATGCGCTCCAGGCCGGGCACGGTGGCTCACGCCTGTAATCCCAACACTTTGGGAAGCCGAGGCGCGCGGATCACAAGGTCTGGAGATCGAGACCATCCTGGCTAACGTGGTGAAACCCCGTATCGACTAAAAAAAAAAACAAAAAATTAGCTGGGCGTGGTGGCGGGCGCCTGTAGTCCCAGCTACTTAGGAGTCTGAGGCAGGAGAATGGCACGAACCTGGGAGGCAGAGCTTGCTGTGAGCCAAGATCCCACCGCTGCACTCCAGCCTGGGCGACAGAGCAAGACTCCGTCTCAAAAAAAAAAAAAAAAAAAAAAAAAAAAAAAAAAGATGCGCTCCATCAAATATCATCAGGAAAATGCAAATTAAAACCATGAGATACCACTACACCAATTAAGATGGCCAAAACCCGGAAGAGTCATAACACCAAATGCAGGAGAATCTGTAGAACAACAGAAACCTCATTCATTGCATTCATTGCCTGGGGGGATATAAAATGGTACAACTACTTTGAAAGACAGTTTGGCAGTTTCTTATGAAACTGAACATACTCATACAATGAAGTTCAGGAATCATGCTCCTTGGTGTTTACCCAAACGTGTTGAAAGCATGTCTACATGAAAACCTGTTTATGGAGGTTTATTGCAACTTCATTCATAATAATCAAAACTTGGGAGCAAGCAAGATCTCCTTCAGTAGGTAAATGGATAAACTGTATTACATCTGGACAATGGAATATTATTTAGCACTTAAAAGAAATGAGCTATCAAGCCATGAAAAGACATGGAGGAAACAATGTATATTACTAAGTGAAAAAAGAACAACCTGAAAAGGCTACATACTGTAGGATTCCAACTATATGGCATTCTAGAAAAGACAAAATTGTGGAGATACTGAAAAGATCAATGGACGCCTGGGGTTAGTGGGAGGTGGAAGGGAAATACGGTACAACTTGAGCCATAGAGTGGAGTCAGTGGAGACCAGAGGATTTTTAGGGCAGTGAAAATATTCCATATGATACTATAATGGTGGATGCTTGTCATTTTCGATTTGTCCAAACCCATAAAACACACAACACCAAGAGTGAATTGTAATGTAAACTATAGGCTTAAGGTGATAATGATGTATCAGTGTAGGTTCAGAGTGGTAATACACCCTGCTGGCAGGGGGTGTTGAAATAGGGGAGGCTATGTTTGTGGTGGAGTGGCGGCAGGGCTGCATTTGGGAAATCTCTGTACCTTCCACTCAATATTGCTGTGAACCTAAAACTTCTCTAAAAAAATCTATTTGGTTAAAAAAAAACGAGCCACTAAAACTGGAAAAAATAGTAAAGCAGACGGTTTCACAGTAATGTGATACTAAAGAGAAAAGACTGTTCAGACGAACTGGTGCTAGTGAACAACGTATTTTCAGTGGAAAATCTTGGAAGGAGAAATATATTGGTGAGCCACAGATGTACTTTCAATTTTTTCAGTGGGCAGAGAAAGGGATTCCACTCTTGTCCCTGGAGAAGAACTGGAATACAAAGAAACCAGCAGAGACATTTGTGGTCACGCAGGATTAACATGACTAAATTAAAGGCTTGAGTTTCCCCTTTAAGACCTTTGTCTGCTGACTTCAATAAATGGATCACCTTCTGAAATTGGATTCTTTAGTAATCAATTAATTGTTTTCTAATAATTTTGATTTAATGCTACACATTGTAAATGAAAAACAAGAGACACAAGATAAGGTTATCTTCCTCCATTTAGCAGACAGAGAAACAGATAAGTACCTTAAAATAATAATGATATGTTAATGGAAACAGAAGACGAGAGGAATAAATAGATGAGTGAGAAAAAGAGAAAGAATATGATCATTTAATTGAAACACCTTTTTACTTTTACTTTTAGAACTGAAAAATATATCTAAAATTAAGAAACTATTGGTTGGGTATACTGGCAGGTTGAACTCAGTAAAAGATAAGATTATTGGAAAGATAAACTGGAAGACAGGTCAAAATAAAATATAATAACCAAAATACAGAAAGAAAAATGATTGTGGAATAAAGAAAGCATGAGAAGCATGAACAGCATAGCGAAAAAGTCTAAAATATGTAAAATTGGAGTTCATATAAAGAGAAGGAAAAGATCGAAATAGAAAAAATATCTAAAGAAACAATGGCTGAGAACTTAACAAAATTAGTGAAAGTGATTAATAAAAATCTACAGGGAGCTCTGCAAATATGAAGCAAGATAATTACACAGAAAGTCATAAATAGGCACATTGTGATAAAACTGTTGAAAACCAATGGGAATGGGAAAATTCTGAAAACAGCCATAGGAAAATAATACATTTATTTCAAAGAAGCAACCTTAAGGATGAGAGCAGGTTTGTCTACCAAAACCATGGGAACCAAAAGACAAGGGAATGGTTTCTTCATAATGCAGAAAGAAAATATCTGCCATCCTAAAAATCTATGCCAAGTAAAAATTCTCTTTAAATATAAATACTAAATAAAGTCATTTTTAGGCAAATACAAGTTTTTTAAAATGCATTGACAGAAGACTTTCACTGAAATGAATAAAAAAGGAAATTCTTTATGAAAAAGAAAAATGGTCTTACAAAAACAAAAGCAGTAAGAAGGGTAAAATAGGTGCTTAAAAAGTGGGCAAATACAAACAAGTATTAACTGTACAAAATAATATTAAATCTTGATACATTAAAAAATATATCTACTTATCAACTAAATGTAATGTGGTATCATAGATAGAATCCTTGAACAGAAAAAAAATCATTAGGTGAAAACCTAAGGAAGTCTGAGAAAAGTATGGACTTTCATTAATCATAATGTATCAATATTAGTTTGTTAATTTTGACAAATATACTTAATAAAGTCAGACGTTGATAATCAGGAAAAGTGAATATGGTTATTTGGAAACTCTGTGTAGCATCATCATAATTTTTCTGTAAATCTAAATCAAAAAAGTAAAATTAAATGTTTATTTAAAATATGTAGAATTAAAACACATGGCAATGACACAAAGCATGGAAAGAGTATATAGGGCTGGACTATTCTTAGATTCTAGCATTATCAGGCAAGTGGTAAGAATAATAATTTCAGATAGACCCTAATACACATATGGGCTCCGCTCTCTAGAGGAACACTGTAAAATAAAAATTTCTGCAATTGTAGAAATGTCCTGTATATGTACTAACAATACCATAGTCACTGACCATTTCAAATGTAGCTAGTGGGACTAAGGAATGAAATTTTAATTTTATTTAAATTTAAATAGCCAGCTGTGGCTCCTGGCCACCAAGCTGAGGAGCATAATTCTAGAGTAGCCTAAAAGAACAATAAAAACTTAGGTGGCCAACAAATTATCAGGAAAAAAATCAAATAATGAAAAATTATATTTCATTCATCCAATTGAAGGCAAAGAAGGTAAGAAAACGTAGCATAATACAAGTGGGTCTAAAAGAAAACAAATTGTAATATGGTAGCTATAAACTCAACTGCATCAATATTATATCAATGTACTTGGACAAAATATTCCAAATAAAGGAAACAATATGCTGCTTAGACCCGATTATATTTTGTTTATAAAAATAATAATATCTTTCCAAGACAGCAAAATAAGGGAAAAAATCAATTTTGCAAGGTAGGTAAGGAATTCAATCAACGCAGAGAACTGAAAGAGTAGTATCTTAAATTTCAGTCCAAGGTTAGTCGGATATAAAGCAAAGGCAGAATAGACAACTCTTCCAAAGATACTTTCTCAATCAATACTTCCATATTTAAACTTCAGCTGTCAGGTATGAGTGACAGCACAAAAGGAAAATTTGCTAAGGTTATACCCTTCACCTGACATTTTTAAGCCACTCCTTTTCTCACTTATTTTTATTTTCTCCTACTTTACCAGCTCTTGTCCAGCATGGTAACATTTCTAGAGAGCATCAGTTTCAACCACGACCAGTGATCAAAAAAAGAGAACTAAGGCTTTTTTATAAATCACTCACATTCTTTCTACTAGATTTTTCTTTCCTAAATCTGTGAGACTATATTGTTCTTGTTCATCTGGGATATTGAGTCAGCCCCAGTGAATTGAATTTATTTATATGTTTCTTTACATTCAGCTCCAGTTTTGGAGAAATCTAGTTTATTCATGACAGGTTAAGTTAGCGGGTAACAGACAATCCCCAAATCTAAGTGGCTTAAGAAAAAGTTTTTATTTCTTGCTTAAGGAAGTTGGCAATGGGTCTGGGTGATGCTTCAGGGGTTCTGTCTTCTAACAGCTCAGCATTACACCTTCATATCAATATTTGCTTTTATAACCATATAGCAAGGGTGAAAGCGCTGAAGGGTCTCACAAGTAGAGGATTCTTAGGAGGAACATGAGTCACTTCTGGTCATATTTCATTAAGACCGTAAGTCAATGGCCATGCATAAAACCTCAACAAGAGAGAGGAGTAAGTGTCATCCTTCCCTCGCAATCTTATCCCAACAGAAGGCAAAAAGGAACCATTGATCAAATAAAAAATATATTGAGTAACTAATGTTTTAAACCAATTGTCCAAGCTATGTCAAGTCTGAACTTTAATATAAAGGAGAAAGAAATATTAGACTTGAAAAAAGTGGATACTAGATAACGAAGAGAAAACAGGGTCTATCCAATGATTCAATTTCACATAGCTTCATTGAACACTGACTTGAGAAGAATTCTGATGCCGGTGTTAACTCAGTGGAAAAGAGTGATTTAAAAGGTCAGTGATACCAGCTAGGAGCACAAGAATGAGGGGTAGTTCTATGTAACAGACTGTCTTACTCACCCCAATTCCAACTTTCTTCTGCATCCACACTTTTTCTGGGCCTCATGGAGGGAGGGCAGAGTGTGCTTCTCCATCCCTCAATCAGGCTTGACCCTGTAACTTGTTTTGGCTAATAGCACATGGGTAGAGTGTGCAATTTCTGAGCCAAGACTTCAGTGTCCTCCTGTGTTGCCACTTGTTCTCATGTGCCTCTGTCATTCTCATGAAAAAAGCATACCCCAGATGACACTCTGGTACCAGGAGAAGAATGTGAGATATATGAAACATAAACCCCTTGTTCCCACAGCCTGAAATGGAGTCACCCCAGGCATTCCGTAGGCTTGTGAAGGGTGATCATCAAAGCCATATGTTGAGTTCAGCCTACACTGGCTGAACTTCAGCCAACCTTCAGAGAAGCAAGAACAGTTACAAATGTTTGCTGTTTTAAGCCATGGAACTTTGGGGCAATTTGTTATGCAGCAAGAGCTCATCAATACATGTTGGTGTGCCAGACAATGACCACACATAAATTACAGTGGGTGGAAAAAAACCCCACATCTACAAAAGAAAAGAGATTGCAGACTGTCACACAAAGAAAAAAAAAAAGATAGGCATTCTTGAAAATCTGGAAAGAAAAAGAAGAATAGATACATGTAATGTGACCATTTTCTAAATATAGATATATGAACTAACAGTGTCTTTTCTAGTTTCAGTCTCTATTTACCTGGAAAAAATTCAAAGATACAAAATTGTACTTTAAAATATATAGTTAAAAACTGATTTTATTTTAAAAGAAAAAATTAAATGGAATGGAAATAGTACCTGACAATATAACATGAATGTTAATAATTATTCTATAAAATTATAAATTTAAACATCAGGTTTATTAAAAATATATTTATTTATTTGTTTATTTATTTATTTATTTATTTATTTTTTGAGACAAGATCTGCCTCTATCACCTAGACTGGAGTGCAGTGGTGCAATCTTACCTCACTACAACCTCCACTTCCTGGGCTCAGGTCATCCTCCCACCTCAGCCTCCTGAGTAGCTGGGACTACAGACACATGCCACCATGCTCGGTTAATTTTTGTATTTTTTGTAGAGACAGGGTTTCTTCATGTTGCCCAGGCTGGTCTCAAACTCCTGAGCTCAAGCAATCCGCCTGCCTTGGCCTCCCAAAATGCTGGAATTATAGGCATGAGCCACCATGGCTGGCCTAAAATATCTTAATGTATTAAAATTAAAGAGATGTCTCAGTTTTGAAGGAAGAAAACAAAAGAAAGCATAATTTCCAACAGTAAAACCATAGAATTCAGTGACTTAATATGAAATATTAAAATGTAAATGCTATCATGTACCCCATAATGACATTTTGATCAATGACACACCAAATAAACAATGCTGGTCTGATGGGATTATAATACTATATTTTTGCTGTACCTTTTCTACATTTAGATATGTTTAAATATGCAAATATTTACCACTGTGTTACAATTGCCTACAGAAGGGGTGTCCAATCTTTTGAATTCCCTGGGCCACGTTGGAAGAATTATCTTGGGCCACACATAAAATACACTAACACTAATGATAGCTAATGTACTAAAAAAAAAAAAAAAAAAAAAAACCGTCAAAAAAATCGTAATGTTTTAAGAAAGCTTACAAATTTGTGCTGGGCCACATTCAAACTGTCCTGGGCTGCATGCAGCCCGTGGGCTGCTGATTGCACAAGCTGGGCTTACAATACTCAGCACAGTAACATGCTGTACAAGTTTGTAGCTTAGGAGCAATAGACGATACCATGTAGCCTAGGCGTAGGCCATACTATCTCGGTCTATGTACACTCTATGATGTTTGCACAATGATGAAATCTCTTAATGATACATTTCTCAGAATATATCCCTGCTGTGAAGCGATGCATGACTATAGATGTTTTAAGGTGAATTTCAGAATGACAATTTGGGGATGGGATATTTAAGAAAGCTAATTTGAAATACATTTTGAAATGAATACCAATGTCCAAAAGGTAGCCAGGCACTAGTTTTATGAGAGCAAGTATTGGTTTGATTTGGCAGCACTGTGTTTTGAACCCAAGACTCCAGCCCGAGTATCAGCAACCTTTCCTTGCATCAGAATCACTTGGGATGCTTTTTAACATAGAGGCGCCCAAACTCTATCTCTGAGCTTTTCATTTAATTGGTTTGGTTACAGCCTAGATATTAGTAATTTTTAGAAGATTTCTATATGATTTCAAAGTGTGACTAGGATTAATAATCATCACTACTTTGTCCTTTTCAAAATATAAGTAAGTCCATTATTTCAAAATGACTCATGACAGTTACCAACTCTTCAGATCCCTGGCTGTTCCCAGTCTCATTGCATTGAACCACAGCAGGTCTGATAATTCTTATCATCTGTTTATAATCATTCTGATCCTTCTAATAATCTATTTCTTATTCTGATATGTAAAACCTATAGGAACCATCGTGTTATAAAATATGTTCAAAGTAACACAGTGGCATCTTTGCAAATTGTACCTCCCAGTAGTCAAAGTGGGTTACATAACAAACAGAGGCAAAACATTACCAGTTAACCCTAAAAAGAATCTGCTGTATCTATAGAGATCACTGTTTACACAGAAAGTACTAGTTTCCAATAATATGAAGTAGAGAACTTTTTTAGTGTAAGCATTATGATATGGAAGAGACTGGACAACAGAAAGAAGCACTATATCATAGAATCAACTTTTGAAAAACAGTATGTGTTGTCAAAAAAAGGCATAATATTGAAGCTGTATTTACAGGTTATATAGAAAATGGTCACAGAGGAAACATTGCTGAATACCTACTGAAGTCCAGGTGTAGGAACTTAGTACATGGAATACAAAAGGGCACAAGACTAACCTTTATTCCAAAAAAAAAAAGAAAAAGGAAAAAAAGAAGAAAAGATAGAAGAAAGTAAAAAGGAAAATGGGAAGATTTATTTTCCTTTTCAATTTTGAAGAAAGTTAAAGAAACGAAAACAGGGAAACCATTTGAAACTTACTACTTGCCAACATTACTATTTGATTGAAGTGATTTCATTAGAAAATTCCATTTGAAGTTATTTTCTGTTAATAAATTGATGTGTTTGCAACTGTAAAACATCTTTAAGGTTCCTATAGTTAAGAGTGCCCCACAAAACAGCAGGTATAAAATAAGTAGAAGCTTTAGCAAGAAAAAAAATGTTTAAGAGTAAGGACTATGCTATCCATGTTTCTGTTCAAAGGGGCAATCTGATTATAACCCTATCCCAGATTTGGAAGCTATGAAGGGGTGTGGGGGGAATTTACAGCTGCACAGATTATAGAACAAACTGGCAACAGCACCAGAGGGAGCCAACAAGCTTCATGCCCAGGCAAACAGAGCGGAAAAGGGAGGAGAAGAATGGGAGGAGAGGAAAGAAAATGTTAACTGAAAATGTTTTATGCCAGAAATGTACCAGCATCTTTGTTATTAAACACAGGCTTTGATGATGACACATTTCCCATGTTCATAACTTGTGATTGGTGAGTTACTTTTACATTTATCTTAATGAGATGACACTCTGCTCTGAGATTTTATAAGCCATTTTCCTACCTATGAAACAAACAAAATATTCTTTTCTCTGATTTCATTTCTTCGTTGACCTTGGGAAAGCTAAACAAGAGAATAGTCTTGGTTACGCATTAACCTATGTGTCTGAGGTTGTGTGGAGAAAAGGACTAGTCACGCTTTACTAACGCTGAGGTATTTTTCACCTGGAAAACTCGGTTCAGTGTTTTTGTGACTTTTATTTGTACCTTGAAAAATTAGAAAGACAAATGATGAGAAGTAAATTGTAGGGGGAAGTTCTCAAAAAATGTAAATACATATTCAGCCTTGAAAAATGCATCTGAAATCAATTCCTTTTTGTGGGTGAATAAAAATTAATGGAATGTGATTCATTACGGGCATTAAATATTCAAATTAATGAAGAACATAGCCAAGTAGACACAATTATTGTATTCTTCAGTTATTACCTGCATGCTGCAGTGGACAGAGGAATTTGGAATGTGTCTTTTATTGCTGTCACACTGCTTGGGGCACTGGCTTGGGAATTAAGGATTCATGCCTCTGCATAATGATATATGATTAGCACTGTGAAAGTAATTGAACTCTTCATTCTAGACAATCCTTTGCAGTGTCAGCAAGAAGCTGGAACAAACTGTGTCATTTAACAGAGTTATACTGTGAGAAAAACCTCTGATCTCTGCACAATTAACTTCCTAATAATTTTTAGGTTTTTGAGATCAAATGAGAGAATTAATATAATAGGGCATGTAAATGTGCATCAGAATATAAAGCAACGCAAAGGCACGAAAAGGGATGGAAAATTTAAAGAAATTAATAATTGCTCTCAAATATAATAAGAGACAGGTGTCGAGCTGTTAAAAGGATGATTGTTGTAACCGGAACAGCTGAGGATGGTAAAAGCACAGCTGTTGCGAAGATTAGTTGTATAGTAACAGAGAATACTTGTTTCACTGTGCACTCCACTACACTAAATTGTATTACAACGAGCTCATAAAGTACCATGGAAAGTGAAGTAATCATGATATTGACACCTATTTTACATAATAAAATACTGTAACTCAAACCATTTACCATAATTTTATGTCTTCAAAATTTCACAAACTGGCTTTATTCTTTATGAAGTTTCTCAATTTTCTTCATTAAATGCATAGCATATCTCATCATAATTGTAAGATAACAACAATACAATTACATTATATCACATTAGGATCACATTTTGAAAGCAGTATATTCTCCTTGAGGTTTGCCAGTGCCAAACATTTTATTCTGGGAGTTTAGCTTTATCAAAATGTTATTTTGTTCAGTCCAGAGTAATAAATTGTATTTCAGGTAATTCTGTAAATTCAATGAGTGCCGCTTCTGGATAAGGACTGGATTGTGTTTTTTTTTCAATGTCAGACTCATGCTGACATTCAGGGAAAAAAAAAAGGAGGTTGTTTTATAATTATTCTCAGTTCTTTGTTTGTTACAAACAAAATGATGACTGGGCACGGTGGCTCATGCCTGTAATCCCAACACTTTGGGAGGCTGAGGCAGGAGAATCACCTGAGGTCAGGAGTTTGAGACCAGCCTGGCCACCACGGTGAAAACCCATCTCTATTAAATAAATAAATAAATAAATAAATAAATACAAAAAAAATTAGCCAGGCATGGTGGCTGGTGTCTGTAATCCCAGCTACTTGGGAGACTGAGGTGGGCGAATTGCTTGAACCCAGGAGGCAGAGGTTGCGGTGAGCAGAGATTGCACCATTGCACTCCAGCCTGGGAGACAAGAGCGAAACTTCGTCTAAAAAAAAAAAATCATAACTAACCCCCTTTGTACAGCATAGATCACAGAGCAAAAAAAAAAATTATCAAAATAGAGAAGTGACTGTATTTATGGTTCCCAATGTTATTTCTTTTTTAAAGAGTCTAAGAATAAAAATGAATTTTAGTCACTTATTTTTAACTTCCTAAAATATGTACCTTCCTTGATGGCGCTGGGATTATTCAGTGAGTTTTCTTTTTGGTTCCTAATATTTTGTTTTGATAAATTATAAAATTTCCCTTTCTCACCTGTCTAGTCAACACCATCTCATGTGAGTTACATTCACACTGGCAACTAGATGCTCATTCTACCAAACATGAATTAAAAATGGAAATAATACATTTGAACTGACAAATTGCTTTGCGAATTGATCTCAAGCACCAGTTTTATGCAACTTTGGAAACTTTTCCAGTATTTAATATTTGTTTGATGGCTGCTTAAATAAACATTTTTCACCCTAGCAATATTAAATTGACCAAACACAAGGTATTACACATTTTTTGTTAGTGATGGGAAGAGTTTTGTGTCTGCCTGGATAGACTTAAATAAAATGTTCATCTTTTTACTATTAAAGTTAATTTGATATTATGCAGAATTCAAATGCTTAGAATTTTATTCTTTGGGTTTTGTTCTGCCTTGTTTTTGTTTGTGTGCTTTTGTTTTTTGCTGGAGTAAGTTGGCTATGCAATTAAGCTTCCACTAGTCTTTAATTACTACTGGCCCACTGATTTTGGAGCCAAGATTTGGTAGACACTCTGGGCTGATTTCCTAATAACATTTCTATTTGAATACTCAGAGAGAGACCAGTGTGAAGTGATGATGAATTTTGATAATACTAAGCTGTTCTCCTTATAAAGAGCAAAAAGGAAAAAGCATGCTATTAACTGTGTTAAAGAAAAGTTTAGTAGAACTTTTCCTATATATGCTATTCTACTCTTTCAAGAGCAATTACTTCGCTTACTGTTTCTAAAACCTTAACAAAATTTTACTTATAAGAGAGTGAATGAAATAATTCAATGAAAAATTATATTGTTTCTGCTGCTATGAATGATTGTCAAGGGTGTGTCTTCAGGGTGACATCAGCATTTTGAGATGGTGAATCTGGCATAATTAATAACATGCCACAACCACTTGACTTTTCCATTATCTTTGCAATTGAAATTATATAACTAGTTTCTCTGGATCTTTTGTTTTTTTATCAAAGTTACTGCCACTTAAACCAATGAGCTAAAATGCTTGGAAAGTTTTTAGATCTTAGTATATAAGTTGTTTGTTTACTTACCTTTCCTCCCTGTTTTCTGCCCCATGCTTATACCAAAAATGAGCCAATCCCGCAAGAGTAGGCATTTTTTTCAAGGTTCTATGCCCTGCAGTATTCAACAAATTGCCTTTCATTTAAAGGACTCACAAATAAGTTTAAATGAATTGATCACATGAACACCCATGGAATCCAAGCAAGGGAACAGAAGGTCAAGATAATGCACAGAAACCAAAAAGGAAGATAGTATCCAGAATGCAGTAGGGAAAATAAGTGAGAAACAACAGAAGCCCTAAAAAGTAAAAAGAGGCAGATGGGCTTCAGGATGGTTGCAGCAATTGGAGGATCCAGACAAAGTAAGAGTTTATTTCACTCAATGCCCAAATATTGGTCAAGTGACAGGAAACATAACAAACACTGAGTGACAATGAATAAGACAAACACCTAACCTCCTGCAGGTGTTGCCTTGTGGAAAGCACAGTGAAGGAAATGAACATTGTGCTTCGGTAGATGGTAATGGATGGACAAGGGGTTGACAAGGAGTGGAGTAGGCAGCTAGGATTTCCATGAAGAGATATTTATTTTGAGATCTATTCTTTCCAAAAGTGGAAAAAAATAAATTCCAAGCAGAGTGGACATGTGCCAAATTCCTGAAGTGAGAGAAAGCTTGGAATGTCCAAGGAACTGGAAAAAAAAAAAAAACTCAGTGAGGCTGGAGGACTGAGAAGGGGGGTTGGCAGAAGGAAAATTGACGAAAAAGGTGTGGCAAGGTATTGTAGGGCCTTGAACACCAAGATAAGGATTTCATTACAAGCGCAATGGAAGAATTTCACAACTCTTCCAATTGCATTAGATATCAGTACTTAATTTAACTTAAAGAGGAAATATGTATGTGTAAAACACTTCCTGGTTGTCATGTGAAGATTAAGTGTTAGGGAAACAAGAGTGGAAGTGGGAAGGCCAATTTGCAGGCCATGCAGCATCTCTAATGTGAGATGATGACAGCCTCAATTTGGGCAATGGTGGTGAAGACAGTGAAGCATGGAGCTCTTTGATGATACAGCATTTGCTGAGGAATTGGATGGTGGAGATGGAAATGAGGAAAATAGTGAAACAGCTGAATTTTGGGTTCAAGTCTTGAGAAACTAGATGAAGTTAATGCATTGACTAATATGGGGAATGTAACAAAAGGGAGGGAAAACCGAGTTTGAGTGGGAGTATGAATCAATAGCCCAATTTTAGCTATGTCCATGCAGGGATACCTAAGATGTCCAAGTGGACATGTCTGTCTTATATGCGAATTTGGAGATCAAAGATGCCTTGGCTAAGGGATTTATTTGGAAATCATCTGCACAATATAGCATTCAAAGGAAAGAAAGTGAATGAGGTCATCCAGAGAGAGGAGAAACAAAAGTAAATACCCAAGTACCACCAGCAATCCAGCCATCAGAAATGCCATGACTATTGCTGTAAGGTGTTTTGTCTCTGCCCTAAGAAGAACTTCCTTAGACACTTCTAACTACACTTCCATCTACATGGAACAGGGTAGGTCTTCTCATGGAAACAGGAGATTCATTGATGACTGGCTTGAGGACATATGTAGCTAGAAAATAATAATAGATATTAATAATGTGATGTTTCTGTCTTAGTACTGCCAACATAGCTTCTGGTTAAGAAACACCACCCTATCTTCCTTAAATCTAAAGCACAGTCTGGATATCCTCTTGCTCAGGCCAAGAGGAAGAGGAAATCTTTTCTCTGAATAAACATTCATGCCATACCCCCTCCTGTAAACATCTTAAGATACCTGGCTGCAACTGGTTACAATTACTAATAAAATTTTGGTCTTTTGAGCCCCAAACATCTTTCCCACCCTCCTCTCAGCATGGTTTTCATTCTTTGAACAATATAAAATCTCAGGAATGGATCCAAAATTATTCTGACATAGTTAAAGATGACTGGTAACTTTTAAAATATTACCTCTCCCTGGGGAATTTTCTTTTCAACAAAAAATTTGGAAAATTATGGTTTCATTGAAAATAGGATGGTTGAAATTGAAGCCTTCAGTGGTAGAGTTTCAGATGATTGCCTTCAGGAAAGATGAACCAAGATGGAGAAGGGAAAGAGGGTTTTATGCTTCTGTTGGTAGCGTTAACATTTTCTATTAAACACACACACACACACACACACACACACACATTTTGGAAGCAGGGAATACAGATTTAGCTGAGAAGCCTATCTTTTGTATCATATGCCCTTGGTTGGTATAAAGTCCAGGCATCCTGATTCAAGTGAATTCTGTGTAAAAATAAAAATGAGTTGTCAAGCTTTTACCCAATAAAATTGGTTATGTTTTTCTTTATGAACTGAAAAGTATGTCTATTGTAGCATAAAAATAATAACAACAATTCTTAAGGTTTATTTTATGTTTATGAATTTATTTTTCTCACAGAAAAATTTATTTTTCTCTTTAATAATTGCCTTCAGCACTCTTCCTCCTAGGAGGAACAAAAGCAAGGCACACTAGAAAGTACTAGACTGAAAGTATAGCAGAAACTCTATTAATTGAAACACAGTTCAAGTCAACACAGACAATAAAGCCAGTGGCTGGGGTAAAATTTAACTGACCCGTTCAAGGTTGAGAAAAATCTTCAATCAAAATGTTTCTCTCTCAGTGGATGAAGAGCTCTACACTGAACTGATTTAACGGTGAAACTTACTGAAATACTTCTCACTAGGGAAACATAAGCTAAAACAAAAACAAAGATAGTAAAAACCCACTACAACAGTGGTTAAGAATATGCTTTAAGCTGTATTTTTCTGCTTCAAAGTCTACTACAGGAGAGAGGATTTTTTTAAGTAAAACAAGTCAGATGGACAAAATTAATATTTTTTAAGAGTAATGTTATTCCTCTCTACTGTTATGGTTAAGTTTGGCATTAGATCTAAGATTTTAGACTTCCATATATATAATTTATATTTATGTAAATCTATATATAATTTATATTTATATTATTTTTATATTTATATGATTTATACTTATTTTTATAATATAAAAATTAAAAGGTTCTATATATAAGACATACAAGTAACAATATACAAATAAAACGAGGATTTTTTTACACAAAAGGATATTTATGGTTTGCTCTATTATACTTACTATCAATGTCACTGGCCTGCCTTCAGGGTTAAATCCACCAGTAAGTATTCTGCAGTAAATGAGTTACCATAAACATGGTGTTAACTTGCGCTTCCTGGAAAATGGAAACAAATTTCTCTGGAAGTTGAGGATGTGATTATTCATCATAATGAAGTATCTTCTATTGGCTCCATTTTTGTTTTCTAAGCTCTCAATTATTTTAGCCACAATCACAGCCAGTGCACAGGGTCTCAAGCTGGACACATTAAAATCAATGGGTGGCTCGAAATGATTCAACATGATGTGCCTTTTTCATTTCAAAATGAAGAACAACAAAAATTATCACTTTACTTCTACTGATTCAAGCTGGAAGCAAATCTGATAGGTTCACAAATCCCTCACAAAGGAAGGTTAATAGAAGCCATAATTCTGACACCTTCTCAAATTGTGGGAAGCAAGTCAGAGGCCACACAACAAACCCAGCTCCATTATTAATTTCACACTTGAGTAGTACCACATAGTTAAGCATTCACTGCATGAATTCAAATCACAGCAGACTATTGGTTTCAGTAATAATCAAAAAGGAAAGTTAAGTTTAAAAAAAGATGAAAACTGTAGAATGCAAGGCTTTCTGTCATTAAAAGTCACTTTTACCAAAATATAGATTTATCAGATTTAATCATAATGTTAGTGTACATAATAAAAACTATCAAAGAGGCCAAAATTTTTATTCACCATCTGAGTGAATAAAAGTATGAAAGTAATTTTCCAGATAATTCTATAAGTGACTATTCTTCTTGCCTGAAATCTGAATTAGGGTGAAAGTACTCTCCTCCCTTTTTCTATCCCTAATTGTCATACTATTTTGGCAGTTTGCTCAATTCTTTACTTTGATAGTGCAAATTTCTTGCAGTTATTAAATGTTCTCAAATGATTTCATAATCCCTAGAAAGCTCAGGAAAGCATTGTATGCTTAGAACAAAATATCACCATTCAACAGCAGCCAGAATTATGAAAAAGAAACAATTCTGAATAATCATTTTGTGTGCAGATACACACAAGTTTTTAAAAAATCCTCAAAAGCAACAATGAAGTCAAATTCAAGACAATGACTTTTAGGTTAAAGAGAATTTGGATTTTTTTTTCCTTATAGTTACCTTTTATGCCAGGGCTACATAACAAAAAGTCAATAAAAATTGTTAGCAATCAGCAATTTGATTATAAACTAAATAAATTGTGTCATAATTTCAACAAGAGAGATTACCTGACTACATTCATTTTTTTTCTCTTGAATTCTGTGAAATTTAATTGGACCTTCTAACACCTGATGCTAGTAATTATGTGTCTTGCCTTACTTTGCTACATTCTAACTCTGCATTTCTCAGAATGTAGTAAGTATAAATTTTGGAAATGGTAAGTATATTCATAAGTGAAGCCCTAATATCCACTGTGTTTGGGGTAATATTTTATCAGTTAATGGCAAAAACAAACAAAACAAAAAATTCTAAATAAAAATGATACAAATAACCATTAAAAATAATTAAAATTGATTTTTATTTTAGCAAAAATGCACACATTTACTTACTTTTTTTAACATAGGTCTTTTTGTTAATTACAAATCGGTAGATAAGTATTCCTCAGAAATTCATTATTTAAAATGTTGGGTTTTATTTCTTTAAAGTGGTCCAAGAATATAAAGATACTAGCAAAGCAATCAGAATACAGAAACTAACAGCTGGTATTTTTTATCTCAGTCTTTCGCCTTCTTGCTCATACCTAGAGAGCCTTTTTTAGTAACTTACCATTATCAAGGCTTTTCATAGCATTCAACATGGTTTCATAGAAACAAAAATAACTGTATCAAGATATATAACTGGATACGTACATATATCCTGACATATAAAGAAAATATATATTATAGAATCCTGGAAAAGTATAACCTTCTTATTTCTGTCTGTCCCCATATCAATAGCATAAATAGGTAACTTTATAATTTAATTTGTTCATACTGATTTCTACTCATTTTGACATGTCTAGCAAATCTGTAAGAACTTAAGGATGGAGGGAAGGAAGGAAGGAAGGAGGGAAAGGAAAGGAAGGAAGGAAGGAAAAGAGGGAGGGAGGAAGTCTCAAATGAGTTTAAGCTTCACTATTTTTAACCTGTGTTATAATAGGCAATATCAAATATCATATATACAGGAGTGCTGAACTACACCCAGTTCATGTAGGCTTAAAAGAGTACATTTGTAAATTTGGAAACCAGTTGTTAAATACAGCCATTGCCAAAAATTGGATTATATAAACTTACAATTAAATAAATTACAAAATAAGCAAACGAAGTAATACTCAAAACTTAGTATTTCCCAATTATTTTAATGCATTTCACTATTATGTGTGCTTTTGTAGTTGCTTACATTTATTGCTTCTTTACTGTAAAAATACTTTATAATGATACCCTTCCTAACTGTATGTCCAGTGACATCAAGTTGGTACTTTGAAACTGGACATGTGGGAGTATTTATACTATATAAATCAGCAAATGCAACAAAACAAGTTGCTGTTTTGGGGGGAGGGGGATAGGTATTGAACATTCACAAGTACATAGTTTTATATACGGCATAACATGTAACTAAAAGTTATGTTATAAATATATTTTTGTCATGTTCTTAAGTATTGAAAGTCATTTTTGAAGAGTCAGTTTTCAAGATGTTTCAAAAAGGTAATTTCTAAATGTGCACTGTCCTCAAGAAGAAAGAAGAGTACTTTGGCAGACACAATGGGAAATCAACTCAGATTATACAAAGAAATTTAAAATAATCTGAAAACCAATGGTCTACTCACTATGATATTTAAATAAAGTTAAACATGAAATGAATTGTACTACTTAAATGCTGTGGCTAAGAGCTGAAAACTCAGCAAAATTTCTAGTGCAATGCACAGATTTTGCAACCTATAGGTATAAAATTTTGCACATCAAAAACATTTACAAATAGTATAATATTCTTCTTTTAATAATAGAAGTTATAAAAGCAAAACATTGTGTGCTGGAAAACTCAAGAAATATAAATTCAAAGTTTATTTTGCATTAGATAAGAACTCACGGAAAATAAAGCCAAACCTTTCTAGGCATATGCTATCATTGGGAAATCATCCACTTACATTGGTTGTGGCCTAAAGTCCAGGGTCTTTGACATGTACCCAAAGGTTTATGTCCTGTAAATGCTGTAATCTAATTAAGTAGATGCTCCATTTAAGCATTAATAGCAGAGTGCCTGTTAAAGTCCAGAGGGACAGTAAAAGATGAGCTTAGACTCAGAGAAAAAAGGAGAGTGGAAGAATAATCATCTGAGATTGGAATATTTGTCTGTTACATAGTCCCCCTCCCCATTCCCAGGTCCTTCTAGCCTTTGTCTATAATGGAGGATAGTATTTCCTCAAATCTGAGACAATTATCAAATTATCAATTTTAGATGTACCGTTCATTCATGTGGAGCTAATTTTAAGAAATCATACAATTAAACTGACACAATGCTTTCTTATAACTTAGAATCTTTATTTGATACTTGTTGAAAAATTTAGACATATATGAATATAACACTTTTCAAATATCACTCTCAGGCAATCGTAAAATGAAAATAGAAATAAAAATAAACTGGTAAATAAATTCACAAACTTCTTTGCAGAATCTTACTCTTTTGGATAATTTCCAACAAAAAGTCATTGATAACTCTGTTTTTCCATAAGTCATCCTCGGTGCCATACAGAGTATTGATGATGCTCTTAAAATATGCCCAAATATTGTCTTTGAGGTCTTCTTTCAAGCTTCCAACATCCTTTGAGTTTTGGTGTTAGTGTTTTCTTGATCTTAATTAATTCTGACAATGGAAAAGTTTGGGTAACAGTCAAAAGACATAAACTTTCCTATTAATGCTCTCAAATAGTTTATGATTGAGATATCAAAGTTTTTATTTGCCATATGGTACAGAAGCAACAGACAAGGCCAAGCATGGGCGGGAAATAACATATCATCACTTCCACCCGATCAGAGTCCATTTTAAGATTCCATCAATCATAAGACACGTCCCAACTTCCGAAAAATTAAAATGCAGAAAATATGCAGCCTAGAATCAATAAAATTAAGTGTTCAAGCTGCCCCAAGTTAACTTGGGCAAGCAGAGTTAGGAATTTTGACACAATTGTTAAGTCATTAGACTGCTGATTAATTTAATCTGTCTGTCTATGTGACTTTCCCTTTCATAAGAACCCATCCTTCCTGCCCTCATAATCCATTACACTGAAGTCACCTACATTGCCCTCTATGCCTGGGTCTAGAGTTTGTAATATCAGCAAATTTTGCTCTCCGAATTTCTCCTCCCTTCATGAAGGACACTTTGTAAACCACTTCTCTCAGAAAAGGATCCAATATTTCTTTATACCAAGCACTGAAACACATAATAAAATACTATCCAATTTAAAGTTAAAGGTCTATATCTCTTCTCTAGGACCAGAGGATAGATGAGTTTCAGAATTCTAAGTTTTTTTAAAAAAGTCATAAAGATTATACAGCACATGTACCATATCCTACGTAACCCCAGTGGGGTCTAGAGTGGCACTCTGAAATCAAACTCTAACGTTTCTACACCAAAATGTATAAATAGTAATATTAAAAGGGATAAAGTTTCTTGTAAAAGAAAAATATAGGGCACAATAAAATTTTAAAGAGTTTATTTGAGTAAGAAATAATTCATGAATTGGGGAACACCAGACTAAATGAAGTTTAGTGTTCCAATGACACAGCTTCAGAGGCAAATATTTATAGGGTGAATAAGAAAACAAAACAAGTTATTTGACTAGTGGCAGTTACAAATTGCTTTTTATGGTTTACCTTGTTGGAAAGTCCCTAGTCACATAATCATATCTTAGTAGACTGCTCATGATTGGCTAGGTTAAGTTTTGTCTCTGTATAACATAAGCATTTACCCAAAAAGATCCGAGTTAACTTTTGCTTATGTTTGCAACTTAAGCAAGGCTAAGGCTCTCTTTAAAGCCTTGTTGGTTTTGTTTGGTAAGGCATTCTTCAGGCAGTCTCCATTTTAATCTTGCTTTAACATTATCAATGACATCCCTTAAATTCAAGCTGGATTTTGCCACCAAATTAGACCAGATCAGGTGAATTTTGCTGCCAAGTAGGTTACACAAATCTATTACTTTTCCAAACTAATGGAATTTGGAATTGCAGATATGGTGTTGTGGACATATATTAGACACAAAGAATCTAGGTTTTGCAAAGAGTTTTAGACATGAGAAAAAAGTGAATTATATTTTAGAAAGATGGAGAAAGCAGTAGTTTTTCTCAGTTCCCCAGTAACTGCATCACATTTAGAGAAATGGACAATATCCACAGCTAAGGTTCACCTAGTTGCTCTAAAAAGTTTCCTCACCTCGTCATCTTCCTCCTTAAATATCCTTATCTCAGCAATGGCATCATGAACCATCAATTGTTCAAACCAACCACTGTATAGCTGTCCTTGGTTCCTTTTTGATCCTTCTTCACATAACCTATCATGAAGTCTATCAATTCTGCTTCCAGAGTATTCTCTTCTACGTCATAGGACCTATAACATCCTCTCCATTTCTGTAGCTACTACCTCAATCCAAGTGCATCATGTTTTCCCTGAATTAAAATAACTTCCCAATCAGTCTTCTGTTTACATCCTTATCTCCCTGCTGCCATTCTGCATGTAGCAACCAGCGTCATTGTTCAGTCAAAAATCAGATGATCTCATTCCCCTGTTTAAAAATTTCAAAACTCTTAAAATGACTAAAAAAGCTTTTAATGACCCAGCCTTTTCCTCCCACTCTACCTTCACTTACTGCGGTTTCATTGCTCTCATCAACTTTCTTTCTGTTTGGCAAATAAGTAAGCTCCTTCTTCCTTTAGAGCCGTTTGCATTTCCTGCTTCCTCAAGGACACAGCTGGAGACATTGATTCCCAGCCTTTGCCTTGCTGGTTTCTTCTGGGTCTTCAGTTGTCAGTGAAGATATAAATCCCTCAGCCATGACTTCTCTGGTTTCCAAACTAAAGTACATTTAATTCCCAAGCCCTCAGGCACGACCCTAGTTGATTTTCTTCAAAGTATTTGTTATTATTTGAAGTTATATTGACGAATTGTTTGCTGACTTATTTATTGGTCTGTCTTTGCCTTCTAAAATGTAAGCTCCATATAGGCAAGGACTGTTCACCAGTGTGTCGCTGCTGCCCAGAACATTGTCTGGCACACAGCAGAGGCTCATTGAATATAATTCAAGCACAGAATCAAAGCCAAGTAATTGATAGTTTAACATACTCATTTTATTATTGCAGTCATTCACATTACTTGTGTTCCTGGTCCACCTAGGGTGTGCTCAGATTAGAGTGGTCTGTGGATATTTCAGAGAATAATGATGTGTCCAGAATATGAGACACATTTTTTATGTCTGGTATTTTTTTGTTGTTGTTAATTTGATATTTTGCCTACCTAAATCAGTACTGTGGGTCTACAACTTGGATTACATTTAATGAGGGTTTGTATAAGAACTCTATGTGTGTGTGTGTGTGTGTGTGTGTGTATCTATCTATAGATAGATAGATAGATAGATAGATAGATAGATAGATAGATATTTTTTAAAATATTTTATCCTTTTAATCCTCTGAAGAGAATAAGTGACCGGCCCAATGTCTCATAGCTAAAGTGTAACCACACCTAGTTTAAATTCCACATTATTCAGAGTACAAATGTAAAGAAATGAATGTAATTATTCATTTTTAAACAAATTTAACCTTCTGTATGTAGATGATTTAAATGCAATTTTGGAAATAATGCTGTTCTATAGCGAATGAAAAGAAGTGGTTATTTGAGCTCTATGGATTTTGAAGAACATGGAGAAAGAAGGGTTTATTGTGTCTTTAAATCAGAAAGATTATCTTCTTTGTGGAAAAGCTCCAGAAGCTGGAGTCTCCAGATTTATTTCCTGTTACGCTCAGAGAAGATTTAAATAAAGTAAGAAAATCCTCTCATGAAAACAGCCTGGTTTGCAAGGCTATCATTTGGATAAGGACACCAAAAATCTGCCTTCCCCTACAGTCTTGACCTCAAGGAAGATGTATTTTCAGTATAAAATTTAATGTTTTGGTTTAAAATTTGTAGGAATATTAACCTTCTTTTGGTGAAGAAAGTCCAGATTATCTATCAGGATAAAACAATCTTATGTAATCCAATGGAAACTATAAGAAGAAGATGTTTTGCAAACAAATTGCTAATATGTGAGTCATTTGACTAGACCAACAGGGTGACAAAGCTGAAAGCTTCAAACTATCTCATGGGCTATTTATGCACTTATTTAAAGACCACCCTGCTATATTGGGTAAAATAACATTGTCTTATTTTCTCATTTATTTATTATGTTGCAATAAAGTGTATGTTTCCTCAAAAATAACATTCACACACCAAGAAATAGAATTTTAAATCAGAAAGTTGTCTTGAGGTTTATTTTCAACTCTTCTTGTCAACACTTCTCAATGCTAACTAGATTTAGTGAAACTTCTTTTATAAGCATGTGAAGACCTTATAAGCAATGACTATCCCTGCTAATATTAACAACAAAGTCTGGGGCGTGATTGTAAATGACTCTTCATATGCCAAAAGTATTTTATTTTTTGAAGTGTCAAACGCTTTTCTTAACTAGCAAATAAAAAATCATATATATTTATTGTGTACATGTTGTTTTGAAACATGTATACATTATAGAATGGCTACATAGAGCTAATTAATGTATGTGTTACCTCACATGCTTTTTTTTGTGGTCAGAACACTTAAAATCTACCCTCATGGATTTTCAATAACACAACACATTGTTATTAACTGTAGTCACCATGTGACAGTGCGTCTCTTTAACTTATTCCTCCTAAATGAAATTTTGTGTCCTTTGATCAATATCTCCTCTACCCCTGCCTCCAGCCCTTGGTAACTACTGTTCTACTCTCTACTTTCAAATCCTTCTTTTATTGCTGGCTTTACACAATGGCTATAATCATTCCAAGAAGCGACTTCAAAGAAGCCATTTCAAAAAACATTGCCTAAACTAATTTTAAAATAAAGTTGTTGTAAGTTATTAAAAAAGAAACAATACATGCTAAGTATAGAAAATTTAGGACTAGAGAATTGTTATTCAAAACATTTCTCTCTTCATGTTTATTTAAGAAATTATATAATGCCAAAGAATAAATATTAATTTTCTGAAAGACATCTAAACCATCCAGATATAATATAATCATGGTCATATCAAAATTATTCTATCCATGATCATAACCATAGAGAAGAAAAAACCCATACTTGTAAGTTCTTTAATGGTTGTACTGACTTTATTTATACAATGATGGCATCATCCATCTTTCACTGTATATTATTTCAGTGACCTTTCAGTAACTTGATTTTAAAGATCTTTGTTTCCCTATATCTCAGTCTTCTTCAAGGCCAGTACACATTGGAGGGAAAGCTGTTTTTGCAAGAGGTGCAGTTTGTGACTGATATAGGCAGGCAAATCAGCCTGAATGGGGCTTATTTTGAGTCCAAGCCTGTTGACTGAAAGAGAGAGGGCTGGAATTTAAGCAGCACCCACCATAAACTAGGCTATGTCTTTCATCAGCATATCAAGAAAGAAGCTTGGAGGCTCAACTCCTTAAGTTCCTCTACAGAGAGGGTACCACTGACATTCCTCATTGCATTTAATCTCATTAATAATTATCTCCTGTTTGTTAAGTTCTGTTATAGACCTCATGTTCCACATAAAGATACTGAGGCTCAAACAGTCAGTGAATGGTGGGCAAGGGTTTGAATCAAAGACTCTGGTTGCAGGCTCATTCTGTTTGTCATACTTCCTGGCGAGGGAGGGTGACTCACGCCTCTAATCATAGAACTTTGGGAGGCCAAGGTAGGGCCAGTCACTTGAACCCAGGAGTTCCAGACCACCGTGGGCAACATGAGGAAACCCCATCTCTCCAAAAAAACACAAAAATTAGCTGGGTGTGGTGGCATGCCTGTGGTCCCAGCTACGAGGGAAGCTGAGGTGGGAGGACAGCTTGAGCCTTGGAGATTAAGGCTGCAGTGAGCCAGGATTGCACCACTGCACTCCAGCCTGGGCGACAGAGTGAGACTCTATCTCAAAATAAATAAAATAAAAATAAAATAAAATAAATACTTCCTTTCCAAGCACTAGAGAACTGAGAGATTTATATACAGTTAAAAGGGCCAAAGCAGTGATTTTCAACTATTTTATGAATAAATAATGAAATCTCTGTGTGTGTGCGCATGCATGAATGTATACAGAAAGAACACGTGAAGATAGACAGAGATACACAGATGGTTTTGGTAGAAAACACCAAGCTTTAAGAACAAATGTAAATATAAAGATTAAAGAACTTAGGATTAATACCATGATTGCTTATTCAGAAAAGAGGATTTTTTTTCCTGTAAATTTCATTACTTGAAATCATTTCTCAAAAAGCATTTAGATCATCCTTTATTCATATTAAGAGGAATTAATTGCTTTTCATTTCAATTTATTTTTTCTTCAAGTTAGCCAGTTTTTTCCCTAGTATTATAGATTCATGCTTCATAGACAAGATTAACTTTTTTAAAAAAAAAGTTTAAGTTAGCAACAAGAAGGGTATGAAATGATTAAGAGCTTGAACTTTTTCCTTAGATTTCCTGGATTCAAATCAACTGCACCTCAGATTTCAGATTTCTCTCCTGTAAAATGAAAGTTGTAGTGATTAAATGAGAAGATACAAATAAAGCACTTAAGATACCTGATAAACATTAAATTATAGCTCTTACATCAAAATAACATGCAGAAGTGAGCATTTAAATGTCTTAGATAACAAAGATGCTTCAATTATCAACAATTCATACTAGACCCGCATTGGATTGTTGAATCAATTCTCCAGTGAATAAAGTATTGATTGCCAATCTCCCTAAATTTTCAAATAAGGGTTTTTAAAAAAATGAATCATATTCTATGGGCACAAATGCTCTTTGCCTCTCTATCTTGAAACCACACACCACACCACTCATGAATCACTTGAATCAGTCATTTGGAAGTGTCAAACCAGCATAACACAATCTAACAGTGTTTGTAATGTTACATCTTAAAAGATTTATCCATAAACAGGCAACATAGAATCATAACAAGCATCTTCCATTTTGTACATAAAGTATGGGTATTTTGGCAATTTGAGAAGAACTATAGGTGGGGCATTTTGCTTCTCAGATTACTGGTTTAGTGAGGGCTAGGCTAAGTATAATAGCGTTGAACAATTTATGCCCAGGATCTCAAGAATAAAACTGTATTGCCCCGAGTGGTAGCCCCAAAGCAGTTAGCAATTAGCAATTCTGAGCCTAGGGTTCTTTCTCTGCTTTCTAACCTCTTGCTGTTATTTGCCTGAGAGTGCTCAAGTCTGCTGATGACTGGCACGTCAAGTTAGAATGAATAAGTGGCAGACTCCATTCCTGAAACCTGTGGCATCTGGGTGGAATCCGGATTGCCAACATGGCTCAGCTGATTTTGCATGTGCAGCTAGAACTTCCTTATGTAATAATCTGAGGGACTTCACGTTACAATGTAACTATTGTAACATGTACCTGTGTTCCTTGCTCTGTGTGATTAACTCAATCCTGAGAAGAGTTGGGTTTGTTCTTAGTTGTCAGTAATAAAGGAATTACTTTAAGTGCTTAAAGGGATTTCTGAGACCATATGTATGGTAACGCAATGTTATATTGATGAAGCACGGATTCTGACTCATTTATGGATACCTAAGATGGGCCATAGACGTTGAAGAGCTCAATAACTATCTGTTGCTTGATGACTGAGTGAAGAAATGTATAAGGCAAAGCCTGGAAGTGAGTGAGTTAGGCAGGAAAAAGAAAAAATCTGGGTGTAGGTGGAAAGAAAGAAAGAAAGAATTAGGTACCTATTAGGTTAGTAGATCAATATGTTGTCAAAAGTTACAGAAAATTAAATACTCAACAAATTCCACACACATTTACGGCCACCTTCATGCGTTAGTTCACTGTTTCCCACACATCAGTCATTTGTTTAGTTCCTTCACAATTTGTCATATTGAAGCAATACCTACGTGTTATTTTCCTTTAAATGAAACTTCAATCAATGGATCTTTTTTAAATGCGGCCCATTCTACACAGTATCACCTGCTAGATGATGGGTTTGGTGCTCTCAGTGCTTGTCATACTTTTTTTTTTTTTTTTTTTTTTTTTTTTTTTTTTTTAGGCAGTGTTTCACTCTTGTTGCCTGGGCTGGAGTGCAATGGTGCAATCTCGGCTCACTGCAACCTCCACCTCCTGGGTTCAAACAATTCTCCTGCCTCAGGCTCCCAAGTAGCTGGGATTACAGGCGCCTGCCACCATGCCTGGCTAATTTTTTGTATTTTTAGTAGAGACGGGTTTTCACCATATTGGCCAGGCTGGTCTTGAACTCTTGATCTCAGGTGGTGATTCACCTGCCTCAGCCTCCCAAAGTGCTGGGATTACAGGCATGAGCCCCCGTGGCCACTTATCATACTTTGATGTGAGCTCAAGTCACCTGGGATAAAGCTAAAATGATTTTGATGCCATCAGTCTGGGTTGGGGCCATTTCTGCATTTCTCACAAGTTCTCAGATGAGTCTGAGAACCACATTATGAATATCAAGATGCCACATACATATTCTAATAAACACTTAAATATTTAACTAGCAACATTTTAAAATTTATCTTCATATCAAGTAAAATTGTTTCATATACCCCATCAGTGGTAAATTCAATGATATAAATACAAACACTCTACTGAGGTTAAAAAAAATTAAATTTCCTTTGCTCTCTGGGAATTCACTGCCAAGAAGAAAGATAATTATGTAAGAAATCAAAGTAACATGTGCTATGGGCTATTCTAGAGCTCTGTACAAAATGCTCTGAGAAAATCCTAGAAATTTGGGGAAAACCATGGAAAAACTGTGTCTCTGAGCATGAAAATAATGGTAGTATGTCTTTTGATAGGAAAGAACTAGTTGGAGGGGTTGGAGGGGTAGGAGGGTCAGGGGAGCCCAGAACCTGGGCTGTCTCCTGCCTGCCCCTACAGTTGTGAAGACTGTGCCCCATGCAATGGAACCCAGCCGAGGGCTGCATGGGTGTGCCACTTGTCCATTTCTGCAGACCTTCAGAAGACTGCACTGGCCTGTGTATTAGTCTGTTTTCATGCTGCTGATAAAGACATACCCGAGACTGGGAAGAAAAAGAGGTTTAATTGACTCATAGTTCCACGTGGCTGGGAAGGCCTCACAATCATTGGCGGAAGGCAAGGAGGAGCAAGTCACATCTCACATGGATGGGAGCAGGCAAAGAGAGAAATTGTGCAGGGAAACTCCGCCTTATAAAATCATCAGATCTCATGAGACTTCTTCACTATCATGAGAATAGCAGAGAAAGACCTGCCCCCATGATTCAATTACCTCCCACTGGGTCTCTCCCACAATATGTGGGAATTCAAGATGAGATTTGGGTGGGGACCCAGCCAAACCTTATCAGCCTGGAAGGGGGCATCATTTTGGTATCATCCGTCCCCAGATGGAGAAAAGGTAGCTTTTTCGGCATTTATCTTCCTGGAAGAGGCTCCCTCTTCTTATTCATCTTCCTGGGGGGGGAAGGGGTTGGGCATCTTTATTCTAATTTGCACAGACATCATAGAGCTGCTTCCCTGA
Organism: Homo sapiens; assembly: GCF_000001405.40. NCBI lineage: Eukaryota > Metazoa > Chordata > Mammalia > Primates > Hominidae > Homo > Homo sapiens. The sequence continues at coordinate 91,130,860 of NC_000013.11, forward strand.
ACTATTTCCTTCCTACCAAAAGACATCCCATCCTTATTTAGTGCCACACACTGTGAATTATGTGCTTAATTTCTTGTCAAATGGGGTTCAATTCTATTCTCCTTTCCCAACTTTCTATCCCATTAGCAGAAGGTAAGAGGATGGATCGTTTAGGTGAGGAGAGGAGAGGATGAGAAAGCCCTAGTTCCAGCTCTCAGAGATTCTTGGCCTTTCTTTAGTATTCTCTTTACCTTCTGTCACAGGCAGGATAATGGTCCCCCGGAGATGTTCATGTTCTAATCCCCTGAACTTGTCAATATGTTGTGTTACATGACAAAGGAGAATTAAGGTTGAAAATGGAATTAATGTTGTCAACTGACTGACCTTAAAATAGGGAGAATATCTTAGAATATCCAGATGGACCAGCTGTAATCACAAGGCCCCTTAAAATGGAAGAAGTCTTGAACTGCCAGCCTCAAGCAATCCTCCCAGCTCAGCCTTCCAAAGTGCTGGGATTACAGGTGTGAGGCACTGCACCTGGACTAAGATAAATTACTATAAAGTAATATCTGTAAAAAAAAAAAAACAAAAAGTCAATATATATATAAACTAAGAATTTTCCAATTTTCTTTCTCAGAGAGAAAACTGGCAATTATTATTTCAAATGTATTTTATTAGCCTATATTTATGTGTTAATTTGAAAAAATAACAGCTTGAGTTCAAGCTGGTATCAGTTTTTTTAAAATTCCTACTAATAAGGCAATAATTTAACCAGATATCATAAGCATATATAAAAACAAAATATTTTGCCATTAGAGGCCTGCACACACCCTCAGTGATATGCTCAACAACTTCTTGAATATTTTCTTCAACACCTAAAATTAATTACTACACAATTATAATTTGTTTCCATGTTATACCTTGCCTCATATAAGTTCAAAAAACTATCAAACAATAATGCATATGATTAATAGCACTAACAACAACTAAAATAACCATAACAATATTTCAGTAAGTTCAATACATTTTGAGACATTACTAATTGTGTCAATAACATATTACTGTGATAATTCCTAATATGTGTCTAGAAAGCCTTGTTAATTCATTTGGCTTAGAGTTAATAAAATGAACGCTATTTCTTTGGGGCGGGGGAAGCAGGAGAGGGAAGCAGGAGAGGAGGTCAGATGGTGTGATATGAGAAGGACTCCACACTCCTGGCTGGGGGAAGGGGCCGTAAGCCAAAGACTGCAAGCAGCCTCTAGAGGCTAGGAAAGTAAGGAAGTGGATTTTCTCCTAGAACAGTGATCCCCAGCCTTTTTGGCACCAGGGACCAGTTTTGTGGAAAACAATTTTTCCACGGACTGTGGAGGGTGGATGGTTTCAAGACGGTTCAAGCGCATTACATTTATTGTGCACTTTATTTCCATTATTATTATGTCGTAATATATAATGAAATGATTATACAACTCACCATAAAGTATAATCAGTCGGAGCCCTGAGTTTGTTTTCCTGCAACTAGATGGTCCCATCTGGGGGTGATGGAAGACAGTGGCAGATCATGAGACATTAGATTCTCATAAGGAGTGTGCAACCTAGATACACAGTTCACAATAGGGTTTGGGCTCTTATGAGAATCTAATGCTGCTCTGATGTGACAGGAGGTGGAGCTCAGGCGGTAATGCCAGTGGAGCGATGGGGGAGCAGCCTTCAGTACAGATGAAGCTTCTCACCTGCCCGCCACTTACCTGCTGCTGTGCAGTACAGTCCGTGGCCCTGGGGCTTGAGGACCCCTGTCCTAGAACCTCCAGAAGTAACACAGCCTTGACCAGACCTTGATTTTAGCCCAGTTAGACCCACATCAAACTCCTGGCCTGTAGAATTCTAAGATAATAAATTTGTGTTGCTTTAAGCCACTAAATGTGTGGTAATTCAGAATAGCAGCAATAGGAAACCAATATGACCTCTCGAGACCCAGAGACCCCTCTGTTTTGCCTCTTTCTGTTTCCAGGATGCTGCTCTTTCCTGGCTACATCTCCTACTTTTCCTTCACAGTCTCTTTTTCTGGCTTCTCTTTATCTCTAAAAATTGGTTCTTCTCCAGATTATGCAGTTACTTCCCTTTTCTCACTCTACGGGAATCACAAATTTGCTGGACACGGCCCAGATTCAGATTTCGGATATGTTTTCCTTGGCCTACACGGTGTTTTTTCACAAGCCAAAGTGAAATGCATTTAGGCGAAGCATGCGTCCTCTAGACTTCCATAACTCACACTACTCCATACTGTATTTTACCTGGCCTTCTTCCCTCATTTACATTATTTGCTTTGTCCCTAAATGTTTTGAGTTGAGGATTCTTCTTCTACAACATACATATGTAATGAGATGTTAAGATGTTACTTTGAATAGGATTCATGGGTCACATAAGTTTAGGAAATGCCGTTAGACAAAGGTGGGTTGTTATATGTCAAGAATTAGGAGCCTCGATTATGCTAATTATCATATATCTGCATAGATAGAGTACATACATGCACACAGTATGCATCTGTATATAGCATTCAGCATATCCCAAACTTATATCCCTATGGGACTTTAACTAGTGTGGCATCTTTAGGTTGGATGCTCCAAGTGTGCACATTGAGATATGTTGTTCAATACTCTCTTTTCATCTGTTTCCATTAACCAGCACTTACAAAGTATCAACTACATGGTACACACTGTTGTAAGTACTTTCATACATATAAGATGACTTACAAAACTGATATGATTGATAGCAGGCACTGTTTTTATTCTTATTTTACAGGTGAAGAAACAGCTGAGGCCTAGATAAGTTATGTGCCCAATGCCACACAGCTAGAAAGCTACAAAGCTGAAGTTTGAACCCAACTCATCTTGGTCCAGAGTCTGTGCACAGAAGTCCTCATACATCCAGCACTCAGCCTGCTCTTGAGCAAAAGGTACATGTCCAACTTAAGAAAGCGTTTACTACTAGAGATCGCTGAAAAAATCATAAGTCATTTCAATCAGGTTGAATGCACTGCCCCAGAGATGTTCAAGAAGAGGTTCAAGGACTTCTTAGGACGGAGTTTTATGAGAGGCACCAACATTGAAGACATCAAATCCAATTGTAAAGTCCTTCCAAATGGAAGATTGTAAAAGCATCTAAAGGTCTATTCTGGATGGGAAGATAACATGGGCAAAGGTAATGACTATCTGGGAGGAGCAGACCAGTATGGCTGTAATGAGAAATTCATGGAGAAGAGTGGTTTCCAGTAATGCTGCAAAAATCGGCTAGAATCAGATTGCGAGAGACCCTGAATGTCAGCAAAATCGGGTTTTGGTCTTAATCCTCTTAATCCTTTAACTGATGGGAAGACTTAAAGAGTTCCTCCTCTGGAAAGTGATAAAGTTTTGCCTTTTTTTTTTTTTTCTAGTTTGGAGTTTTTTGTTTTGTTTTGTTTTTGATACAAAGGGTATGAAGTAAATTAATCAGATGACATTCTTGATCTACTGCGAATGACTCAGTCAAGCCTCTTTTGCATCTTCTCTTCCTCCCACTGTCCACAAGGTGGCACCAGAACTCAAAATCAGAACTCCCTGGAAGGTTGTCTAACTGTTCCAAGCCTTTCCTGTAGGATGACTCCTATAAAGATACTTTTGAGGTGAACATGTCAAAATATATTTTTATTAACAATTTTTAATCGGCCTCTTCATTCACTCTGGTGTATTTTTCCAGGAGTTAACAATTTTCGTCTTAACTGACTGCAACGTTCTGAAGAACTTCTGGGGACTGTGCCAGTTTAGAGACTATTGTAGACCAAAATCATAAACAACACATCCTACAGAAAATGCTAATGATCAACTGGACGTTGATACAGTGGAATTTGTTCGACCCTCGATGACTTCCAGAAGGGGGGAGCTGTTCTAGTTCACAAGATGGAGAGGTTTGTCAGGTGGCCGGTTAAATAAGCTTCTTGACACTTAACTCTAGGTAGGATGTGGAAGAAGATGAAAGTCTGAGCCAACTTACTACCTAATTCTTCAGGAAAGAAATGTGAGAGTACAGCACTGTGTCCCCTCTTACCTTTCCAAGTGGCTTTTCATGCTGTCAACTACTTTACACTGCAGAGGGCTCTCTCCTTTACATATTTCTTAAGCAATTTTTTTTTCTTAATGTCACAGTTCTGCTTTTCTTTTGTCTTTTTTTTTTTTTTTTTAAATAATGAGAGGGAAGCAGGCTTTCAATTTGTTGGAAAGTTTCTGTTCTCACCAACCTCTATAAAAAGCAATCATTCTTGGTCACTTGTAAATATGCCTAGTACGCGTATCAGGCTTCCTATTTTAAACATCTAAGACTAGTTTGTATGATTCGAAATTTCAAAAGGCAAAATGGCCTAGCACCCAAATCACAGGTAAGTGGGCACATGGCATTTTCCCCTAAATCCTTCAAACTGAAATTTGAGGAGGAAACACAAAGTTAGTGAGCGTGTGACAAAGCAGGTATTGTTTATAAAGATAAAGAGGCTTCTGTCTAAATACCATGGTCTCAATTTCCCAGATTCTAGAGAAAAAGAAAAAAAAAGTAAGTATTCTATTTAATTTTATTTACTTGAAATTCTTATGTTTTAGTTTTTCCAAACCTGTCTCTTCTAAAATGGGCAGTAGAAAAGAGAGGCTAATATAGATGATAGACTGATGGACTTGGATAAATAATTAATGGCCTGGAGTAATTAGCTGGAAGATGTTTAATCATTAATTTGTCTGAGTCATCAGAAGCATTTGAGCTTACCCATAAAATATTCCACTAATCATGAGTGTGTATATTTTGTCAAGATGGAAATTAATATGAGATGAGAATTAGCACTTTGAAAAATTAAAATACAGGACAAGTCTGTTTGGTCTACTCTTTGTTTAAGATAAATGAAATTTTGCTTTCCTTTACTGTACCTAATGAGAAAAAAAAGGTACATAAATTCTATCTGTACACATAACCAAGAAGTCAAACTTTTTGGTTGGAGAGGCAAAGTAATTGGCAAGTTTGTCTTTCTTTAGGGACTTATTTAGGGGGTAGGAGAGCAAAAACAAAAACACTTCATTATTAAAGTATCTGGTGAACAATTAGGCCTCTTTCAGAGGATTTAAGGGGAAAGGGTCCTGTAACATAATGCAATTTATGGCTGTGTTCTTCAATGTGGTGTTTTCCAATACAATTTTATTACAGGCTCTAAATTATACTTTCACAGGAAAGGTCTGTCTTTAAACTTTTAGGTCACAATTGTTCAGATCTTTTCACACTGAATCAATCAGGTTTAAAGCTGGCAAAATCCTTGGCAGCCTTGTAAATCTTTCAAAAGATGTTATCCAATTACCCTTCATGGGCCACAGGATTCTACAGCATGACTATTTCCTTCTCTATGAGGAATTAAGTGCTCATGAGAGGTTAGAAACCAATGGAGTTGAAAAGCAAGGTTCTGCATTTTTCCTCCAGTTCACATGGTAGAGATATAGGCAGCTACTGAGATTTCCTGAGATCTGCCACAGACATTCTGGCCCTCCTGGCATCATTAAAATTTTAATTGCTTTAAATCAGAAAAAAAAAAAAAAAAAAGAAGACATTAACACCAGAATGGTTCTTGTTACAAAACCTTATTTTTGGAGCTGTATTAAGGATTTACCAGAAGAACATGTTCCAAATGGAAAGCATAAGAGATCACTATTACTCTTAGTTACTTTTGCAAGAAAAACATTTTTAGGTACAGTCAGTAAATACACAAGGGATTGAAAAAGAAAATAACAAAGAGGATAAATGTACTTCTTTAGTCTGTGTTGATCTAAAAAATGTGCTTATTTTCCATTTAAAAAACACATATTAATCTCTGTTAGTTCTTCCTCTTCTAGGTTTCCGATATAGAATACTAATAAAAGGCTAAGGAGACATTCAATTTATATAAAAGCCTATTTCATGCCACTTGGTTTCAAGGGAGAAAATAATCATGGGCAGAATCATTTGAAAATAATTTTTCAAGGAAAAATGTGAACATGTAGCTAGATTGCTTCACAGAAGTTAGGAAAGCACAGCTTTCCTTTGTCATGTAAAAAGCAGAGTGGAGGTTATGGGATTCCAGCTGCACCTTTGACCTCAAGGCTTCTTGAGTCACTCACTTGTCATGACCTTTGACCTTTGGCAAATCATGACCCTATCTGTTTCGCTTGATTTTTACTATCTACAACAAAAGGCCTTTTCCCCTCTGGAACACATAAGCAGAAGTCATATAAATGTTTGCAAATAGTTTGTCCGCCAACCATCAGGCAAAGAGAGAAGAAGTATAAAAAAAAATTACAAAGCATGGAGGAAAATGCTCTAACATATAAAGTTTCCTCCAGTGGCGTAGATTGATTTCAATGACTACAGTGTAAACACCTGGATTCATGTTCCCTCTTTTAAAAATCTTTACTTTCTTTGATTTAAAATATAATGTAGTAAGAGGTGAAAAGATTGGTGTTTTAATAAATTATACTTCTTGTACTTTGCACTCTAGTCACTAAAAATTGCAGACATCATCTCACAGCTGTGTGTTATCAATACCTCCTTTTACTCACTTTCTAGATTGTTTCCATTTCCAAAGAAATGCAATTCCTTTTTACAAGATTGTGAGTGAAAGGTAAATATGTGCAAACTTTGGGAATAAAATGTAGTGTTGGAGCTAACTCAAGTACAGAAGAGGAAACCAGGCTTGCAAAAGCGTACATAGAAGCTCTCCGGGTAGAATATTCAACCACTTAACACATATAATTCTAAGTCCCAAACCTTATTTAGTCTTTACGATAATAGCAATTATTCCGAATCTATTTAATACACACTGCTGATTGGTAACACATGCTTCGAGTTTTCACAAGTTTTCCTTTCGAATACTGAAGTTTGTTTGCTTGCTTGTTTTAAGCAAGTAATAAGGAGAAAAAAGCTTGAAGATATACATTAATTAAAGTGTCTAGAAGGTTCGGCACAACAAAGAATGATGTATACATTTTCACCAAGATGAGAATGAATGAAATCTCTTGGATCATAATACTTTAGGATTTGTCTATTTATGGGATGTTTTGTGGTTATTTTTACTGCCCAGCCAGCATGGAGATTCTTATTTTTTTCTTTTTGCACCAAGACAGAAGTATTTTAATATTTGCTTTGGGAATAGTTTTATTTTTAGCTATTTCCACCTACTTTTTGCATTCATTCACAATCCACTGTTTTGTTTTTTCCTGGCAGTTTCTCTTTCTCTGAAGCTCAAAACACGTGTTTGATTCTTCGAAAACAGTGAAAATTGGCATCTTAATGAAGTCAGTTTAGGTGAGCCAATACACCTGGTTCAATCGGAATTTAAAAGGAAAATTAAGAGCTTGCCAAATAAATACTCATTTAGTTAAAGCCTTTGCAACAAAGACTTTCAATATTTGTAATTCATTTTAAAGAGGGTTGAAAACAAAATCTCTTCTAAAATTCTTACATAAATCTGTTTATAGCAGTGTATCTGCAGCCTATAGTTTTTATGGTGGCTACACAGAAAAAGATTAGACAAAAAGATGCCCAGAGGATTAAAATATTACCCTTGCTGAGTTAGAGGTAGGGTCGTTTGAATGGGCTGATAACTGTTGAAAAAAATACTTAACAGTGGCCAGCCTGTGACATCCTATGCTGCCTGAATGTACTTTTTCCTCATTTTCAGATCTATCACCACAATACCAAATACTTCCTAGAGCAGTCAAAATTCTTTCCCCTCAGATCTCAGCTAAGGGTCCTGTGGCTTCCAATTAAAACTCTCAGGATTTAGTTTTCATTACCTTTCCACTAGAATATTTATGACTTCCTGTAGAGCTAGACTTCAACAGCTTTTAACCATATGGAAATTTGGGGGAATTTGTTGCATTGCTTTCTTACCTGAAAATGTTTACAGGCCTGAAAGTTGAGTTGATAGAAAATAGATTCCTTAATTTCATGAAAATCTGCAACACACGTCATCGGAATGAGATAACTAAACGACCAATATTATCCATGTTTTAATTTTCTCCCCTATGTTAAGCCATTTGAATGAATAATGTCACTGACTTTCTCCATCCTCCTGAGGGATGGGTGCAGTTTTTATAGTCATGGTAAAAAAAAAAAAAATTAATACTACTATATAAGATAGTAAACAAATTTTACTTTAGGCTTCACATGGCTAATAGTGACAGTAATTTCTTTATGAACCCTTTGATGTCAACCTGTATCTACTATTAGCTTTCTCCAGAGCAAGATACTTTTGAAATGCAAAAGATCACTCTCACTGTCCTCCCTCCCTCAACCTACCCTAACTCTCCACCCAGAGTCCTGCATAAAATAGTTCAGTGGCTATCCATTCAGATGGAGCAGGGTTTCTCAACTGTGGGATAATTCTTTATGGGGGTGGGGAGAGGACTGTCTTTTTTTATTTTAGGAGGCTGAGCCTAATCTCTACCCTCTAGATGCCAGGAATATTATCCCCAAGTGATGACAACCAAAAACATCTTGAGATATTGCTAAATGTTTCCAGGAGGGGGAAATTGCCCTCAGTGATAAACCAGTGAGATGTAATGAAATCCTGAAGAAGGATTTAAGGTGTTTTCCTACCTATTAAGGTCTGTAATAGTCAGGGTTCTCCGGAGAAACTGAACCAATAGGATATGCATATATAGAGAGAAAGAGATTTGTTATAAGGAGTTGGCTTCCATGATTATGAAGGCTAGCAAGTCCAAATCTGCAGCGTAGACAGGTAAACTGGAGACCCAGGAGAATCAATGGTGCAAATGAAATCTGCCGGAGAATTCATGTCCCTCAATGATCCCTTTCCATTATCCCCATGCTTCAGCCACACAGACTTTATTTCATTTCCTTGAACATAGGCTCTTTCTCATCAGAGGATCTTTGCACATGATATTCCCCAGTCCTGGAATACCTCTTCCCACTACACCCTGCCATTAGGCAACTAACTCCCTCTTTCAGTTCAACCTCAATTGCACCTCTTGTAATTATAAATTCTTCCCAACCTTCCTAAGTAGATGAAGTCTCCCCATTATTTGCTGTCATAGCACTTACGCATCTTCCTCAAGACATTTATCACTTTAAAGTCTTTAAGGGTATTAAACGTTTGCATTGCTCTATATCCCCAATACCTAACATACAGTAGGTATTCATCAAATATTTATTGACTGACCAAATAAATGAATTCGCATTCACTCAAAATATGGTATCCTTTTTCTGACAATTACTGGCTTACTGAATGATGTTGTAATGGTCTGAATCACAAGCTTCTATGCATGAATATCAGAAAGTCAATATAGCAATACAGCATGCTTATTTGACAAACATTCATTGTCAGCTGCCTATGGGCTATTAGAAAAACTACAGATGCCTTAGACTCCACTGCCACTGTTTCTTACCGCAATTCCTTGAAAACTATAAAATGCATCACTTTATTTATTGTAGCATAAAATGTGTAATGAGCATTCATAAATGTGCATTACATATTTTGGAATTTAATGATTTGGGGAAAAGTAGTGTGAAAGGAAAATACATCTTCGGGCCCTAAAATCACTAAGCTAAAGGGAAAAGTCAAGCTGGGAACTGCTTAGGGCAAACCTGCCTCCCATTCTATTCAAAGTCACCCCTCTGCTCACTGAGGTAAATGCGTATTTGATTGCCTCCTTTGGAGAGGCTAATCAGAAACTCAGAATGCAACAATTTGTCTCTTATCTACCTATGACCTGGAAGCCCCCTCTGCACTTCAAGTTGTTCCACCTTTGCTTTGAGTTGTCGCAGCCTTTCTGAACAGAGCCAGTGTTCATTTTATACAAGTTGATTGATGTCTCATGTCTCCCTAAAATGTATAAAACTAAGCTGTTTCTGACCACCTTGGGCATGTGTCGTCAGGACCTCCTGAAGCTGGTCACGGGCATACGTCCTTAACTTTGGCAAAATAAACTTCTTAATTACTGAGACCAATATCAGATTTTGGGGGTTCACAGTAGGTATGCCAGTTACCCATTTATTGCCCCTGTGCTCCAAATTCACCCTTCATTGCCCTGCTTTGGAACACTGGAGATGGAACCCTAAAAGACTTATCATTTGCTAATCAGCATCGCGTTAATCTTTGTCCGTGAAAGACATCAGAGGAGGGACAGTGCCAGAGGAAGAGACTTCTCTTGATTTGTTTGCTTCCTGTCTTCTTGTTCTAGAGTGTAGCAGTTGGAGGTGTGTGTCCAAGAGGCGACGTGGCACATGCCCTCCAGCCAGTTTTGTTGGACCCCAGTGGAAAGCTTTCTGAATGCCAGTTCCTACCCAGATTTCCCAGCTCACCAGTCCCAGCCAGCTGGCCATGGACCAGATTTGGCCTGAAGCAATCCAACTTCTCTGCCATCCAGTAGGTCCAGCCACAATGAATTTAGACTCCAATGAAGTCTGAATCTTAGTGCTGGAGAGGAACCCCCTTCTCCAAGTGTATTTCTTCATTTGGGACTTTCAGAGAATTCAAGGGAATTCCCTGAATTCTCTTTTATACCCTCTGAGTGGCTACTCACCTGCTACCAGTTAGTATTTCTTTCTATTAAATATTCCCTGATCAATTACTGGTGTTGATTCTGTTTCCTTTTTGGACCCTGTCTCGTACAGTAAATCAATGAGTAAGAAGTCTGAATACATAGGACATTTACTCAGTCTTAATTCAAGAATATTCTGCCTTACTAGGCTAAAAAAAATGTTAACAAGCAGAGCTTTTTAAAGACCTAATGTAATCATCAGACTCCAGGGAATAGATTTTTACTGCTGGATGGAGCCCAAGAGGCCACCAGCCTTTCCAGTTGAACCATCCTGGTCACCCAGAGGTGAAGTGGCTTTGTTTATGGAGTGGCTGTGTGGGACATGCTGGGAGGCAGCTTCTCCTTGAGATTCCCCTGGCTGCTGCTGAGGACCCTCTCCAGGAGCTGCACCAGATGATGCACTGACGTTTTTATGAGGACCCATGGGAGGGAGAAAGTTCTCTCAAGCCTAAGAACTGGGAATAGTCATGCTTCTTCTGAATGACTCTTGGGATTTAGCTCATGGACACTCTTGAAACATGTAACTGCGTGGTTCCTATTTAGAACAGTGGCCAGAAAGGTCAGGAACAAAACGGTGGCTCTCTCCTGGTAAGCAGGCAGTGCCCCACGGCAATGACGCTTTACATTCCTGCTCCCCTGGCTTAACCTCAGCTGTTTTACACCCTGCTTTTTCCCTTGCCTTGATTGCCTCATGTATTTATTACTGTTATCCTATTACATACATCAGACACTTTAAAACATCCATTTAAGAGTTAGCTATAAACAAAATATCAAAGTATAAATCTATTCTCCTCAAGCTAACATCATTGTTCTTTTCATTACTGTTTCCTTACAGCAACAAAGAATTCAAATACTTGTATCTTCCTGAGAATAGGTGCACCTCGGAGATCCAAGAGCAATTTGTTCAGATATTTCAAAATTTCCTTTACCACTTGCTTACCTAATTAATATGTGTAATAAATGTCCAATTTCATATCCAAATCACAAAAATTGTTAGCCTGGGCTTTATCAACTTTTTAGTATTTTTTCAATGCAAAGGTATCCAAATTGATCAGTTTGACTATTACAAGGCTGGCCACAGGCTCAGAAAGAATAAACTTTTATTTTTTCTTATTTCTTTATCAAATTATAGTGTCAAAATGTGGTTTCTTTCAAAGACAGTCATTTAGCAATACTCCACAAATTGTGGGGAAAAAAAAAATTTGTGTCCTCTCTCTTATTTTTGTGCTCTTATTGTGTTTTCTTTGCTGAATAAGCAGCTTTCTTTCTCGTGTCTCTAGGATGGTGAGAGATGACTATTCAAAACCTTATTTACACCTAGACTCCCTCATGTTTCTGTGCTTCCGTGGCCAGACTTCCACAGCTATCATTTATCATGGGCAGTGACTCATACCTTGTAGGGGCAAAATAAATATTTGCTGAATAAATCCTCAGAGCTGCTACCAAAAATGGGAAACCTTGGAAACAAAAAAGCAATCATAGAAAATAAAGTAACTGCAGCTGTGGAAACAGAAAAGCTATATGATATTCTTGCTTTTCTCTTCATAATTCCTCCAAAGAGAGGCAGATTTTGTTTTCTGTACTGAAGCTGAAAAGCAACGTAGCTTTGTCTTAGTCTGATTTCAAAGAATTCCAAACAACGTTTTTCTTGTTTTCCTTTACTTCAGAGAAAACGTGACACTTTGCCGTTGGTAGATATTCATTCTTTTTGTTAAGTATCTATGTGAGAGCTTGTCAATGTTTTTATGCAGATAGCCCTGGTAACCTTGGATCATCCTCCAGAAAGCCTTTGGTGAAGAAAAGTCAGGCAAATTGACCTACAGACCAGTCTAATGGGAGCAATTCGGAGAAATGGGCCATGGGAACAAATGACAGGAACAGATAAAAAAAGAAGTGTAAATGAACCAAAAAGGAGTCAGTGCTTCTGCTCTCCTATTGCTATAACCAGCACATTACTAGACGTAGCCTTCTCTTGGTCTCTTATTTAACCCTGAGTATGGTTCATAGATAAATGGGCCAGTGTCCTTTTAACCATCAGATTTTCCATTTATTTCAGAAAATATAAGATCAATTTTCCATGTGATTTAATTGGGTTACTGGGTTAGTGCCCTTCATGCCTTCAAACATATTCTTGTACCTATTTGTATTACCCAAGTCTTTGATCTTCCATAATGAAGCCTGTGTTTCTCTTAGGGCCCTTCTGGGATGACTAGCTCAACCGAATCAAGGAGGAATGAACCCTTATTTCTGAACACCCTAAGTTCCTCATGCAAGTGAGCTAACAGAAATCAAAACAGACAAATGAATTGCAAAAGACACATTTTAAATACCGTATCCTATCAGTTGATATTTTAATAAAACGGGTGACTAGATTTTCAGACTTAGACTGGTCTTACAAGTAATTTGTTTTTGAAATTACTAATGGGAAAATACGTTGACATTTTCCAACTTTATCAATCCCGTGAAAAGTTTTGATGATCACTTTTAAGACATTTTAACAAAAATAACCTTTTCCTGTAGTATGTAAGCCTTTGGTTAAGGAAAGCATGCATGTTGTAAGTGTAAGTTCTCCTGGCATTGCGGTGTAAGTATGACCAGGAAGATAAAAGGCAGTGGTGTAGCAAAACAGAGCTATTCAGATATGTGTACAGACAGGATCCCCGGGAGCCAAGGGATGCTGTGTTGTGATATGCTGCAGTTACATCTGCTCTTGTCCTGTGTGGTCAGCTCACTTCTGATAAGATGTGGGATCTCTGAGGAATTAAGTCAGGACCTCAATCTAACCACTAGAGAGCCTGTCGTTGGCATTAGCAGTGACATTGGCCCTGCAGTATGCAATAGCTGAGCTTCCCCTTGACAATCACAAAAGTTCCTCAAAGGCTGTCTGCAGGATAATGTGAGCAAGTAAAGAGGAAGAGAAGCATGGCATGCACAGTACTTAGTAATGGAAATATGACAATTCCTGTTGCTATTTTTGACTGGTGCAAAATTACAGTGGGGATAAGGCAGTCTAGAAAAGGCTATGGCTTCAGTGTGCTTAGTTTGGGGGTGAAAGTAGAGATAAGGGTTGGTACAGTTAAAAATAAATGATTCTGTTGCCATGGTTTCCTTCTTTATAAATTCTTTTCAACATGAATTGCTGTTGTTGTGTTTAATTTTAGATTCATGCAGATTTTCAACAAATAAGAATTCCTATACGTCTGAGAAATGGTTTTTTAAAGCTGTAGGAAAAGGTTTTTGGCAGTCTGGTTTAAATATTTCTAAGCAAAACTAACATGCAGGGTTCTGGCATTTAGACAACTACCAAAGGAAAGCGAATAAAGAGAATGGGAACTTAAGGAACATATAAGGCTACATTTATTGTTCTGATTAAAACATAAATTCATATTATTGTAACATTTAAGGGCATGCTGAGTATTAAATATGGCCTCAGAACCATAGGAATACAGGTGTTCCTCCTATGGAGTAAGTCTCTTGACAATGTACCCATAAAAGATTTCAGGTATCAAACATTAATTTAGATAATTATGTGTTTATTAATATCAAAGGCTCTAATTGTGTTTTCAAAACCTGTCATATTACCTCAAATACAATTCCATTTTCTTGACTAGGGAACCAGAATTACTTATAATTTATATCCACTCTAAAACACCTATGTTTCATTTTTTTAAAAATTAATAATGGATATTTCAAATTTGGAAAACATAAATGAGAAGGAAGAGTTGACTTTACCAAATAAATTATTTTTCCTTATGCATTCCTTATAGTATCATTTAAATAATGAACTCCCCTACCACAATTAAAATAGGTCTAGATTTTTAAAAAGCAAGAAAATCAAATTACCTGTACAGAAATGCGTTATAATGCAGTTACAATGTAAACAGCAATAATACAGTCGCAGTAGTAAAGGATGAAATTCATTACAACTGAAAGGAAATGAGTGAACTATATTTGTCTTTATAAATTTATTTTCTAATTTCATTACTCTGATTTATTATAGTACTTATTTTGTTAATTTTGCATTTTGTCTTTTAGTCATACTAGTTCCATTTTTGCTAAATTTTTTTAATCTGAAAATTTAGAAAATAAAAAGTAATCCTTGTGGTATTTTAGTTCAATTAAAGTTGAAACAGAAGCTGACAATATTTCTCTTGATTTATCCTAAATTTAAATTAACGCATACTGGTTTGGGGTTTGGTGAGGGGAGGTGTGTGTGGTGTGCTTTGGAGGAGGGCAATGGACTTGATTATTAAGATAGTTCAACTAATTGCACAGTCATTGCACAAGTTGATGTCATAATTGTATCAGTCTCCACTTCTGCTTGTAAGTGTAAGGAGATTTCCTCATTTTTTTACTATTTCCATAATATAGTAATCATGCAAAAAATGTGAAAATTCAGGTGTGAAATTTTCATGAATAGATCAGAGCTGCTCAGACCAGACTTTATCCTGTGTCTGTTCATTCCAGAAATATGTCTGGGAGGTAGTATGGCCAAGGACATACTACTTCAGTTTCTCTAAGCTTTGCTTGTGGCTGATTTGGAAGAACAGCTGATCGGTTTTTTCCTGATGGCAGCTTGCCTCTCTCCTGAAGCTAAAAATCCCAGGGGCCTTTGGATTAAAGTGCAACTGCAGTGGTACTATGGCTATTAAATCATTTAGCTTCACTATGAAAGCATAAGGTACATACCATTGGCTATGACAGACTAGTGTTGACTGGTCTTCATACCCAGAACAACTAGAAAAGCTTAACAAAATACTTTTCAAGAATCTGCTTGAGGCTGGCGTGTGGCTCATGCCTGTAATCCCAACACTTTGGAAGGCCGAGGCAGAAGGATCACTTGAGGCCAGAAGTTTGAGACCAGCCTGGGCAACACAGGGAGA
Source organism: Homo sapiens (assembly GCF_000001405.40). Classification (NCBI taxonomy): domain Eukaryota; kingdom Metazoa; phylum Chordata; class Mammalia; order Primates; family Hominidae; genus Homo; species Homo sapiens. The sequence continues at coordinate 91,146,323 of NC_000013.11, forward strand.
CCTTGTTTTTACAAAAAAAAAAAAAAAAAATTAATAAGCCAGGCATGGTCCCAGCTACTCAGGAGACTGAGGTGAGAAGATAGCCCGTGCCTGGGAGGTTGAGGCTAACAGTGAGCCATGAGCACGCCAGTGACTCTATCTTTGGCAACAGAGCAAGACAATGTCTAAAAAAAAAAAAAAAAAAAAATTAGAATTTGCCTGAAAGTTTTAGAGAGCTAGCAGAGCAGCCCCGACCTAAAGGAGTCAAGATCACAAAGATCAGAGAAATTCATTGAGATGAGTCTCCTATTTTATGCCACTTTTCTCCCTAAGCAATCCCAGAGTTTCCTGCAGTCTCACCAAACTGGAGAGCTAAAACTTGGAGTCCAACCCCTAAGGAGCCATAATATTGGAGAGAAGGTAAGCACAAACTGAACAATTTGAAAGGAGACCCAGTGACAAAGTGGATGACAGAAACAGATGGTGATGTAATAGATATAACGGAGTTATGAGGCAGACTTTCCAATAACTCAAGAACATACTTGGCAAAATGAGGAATTGCATTTGAAAACTGAAATCTATTCAAAGAAGAAGAAATCTCTAGATCTAAAAATTAAAATAAACTAAAATAAACATGCAATAGATCGCCATAATGACAGGTTAGACACAACTGAAGAAAAGACAATGATCTGGAAAACAGGTGACTACAAAAAATATCCAGATTAAAACAGAGGGAGAACAAAGCTAGAATATACAGAACAAAGACTTCAGAGAACGTGAGACAAGATGCCAAGGTGATTAGAGTCCCAAAGGAAAGAAAGAACAAAAGTAAAACGAACAACATTTATGAAGATAATAGCCAGGATCTCTTCAAAACTAATAAAAGTTATCAACCCACAGATTCAAAAAGCGATATGAACCCAAAGTAGAGTAAATACAATGAAAACCATGCCTCAGTAAATTAGTAAAATCTACTGAAAACAAAAGAAAAGAGGTAACCTCCAAAGCTGCTACAGAAAAATTACAAGCTTTTACTTTCAAGGGGCAAAATACTTTTCATAGTAAATTTCTCAATAGAAATAAATAAATCCAGAAAACAACGAAATGATATCTTTCAAGAAAAAAGAAACAGCCAACTTAGAAATCTATGCCAAGAAATAATAGTCTTCTAAAATGAGATACTTTTCTACGCAAACTTAAACTATAACAAATTTTTGCCAACACATCTGCATACAAGAAATATTAAAATGTTTTTTCGAGCAAAAGGAAAATTGTAACAGAAGCACAGAAATGCAAGAAACAATAAAAAAAAGAAATTTTAAATATGTGGGTAAATTTAAATAAATATTGACTGAAAATAAATATAATTTCTCCTTATGTGGCAGAAATATTTATAGAAGTAAAATGCATGATTATAATAATCCAAAAAGCAAGAATGACAGTAACTGGTGTTAAAGGGTCTAAGATCTCCATAAGGTATAAGAGGTGATAAAGATACAATTTATATTAGAGTCTTATAGGTTAAGGATACATACAGTGACTTCTAATACGGTTTGTAACTAATGTCTACCTACAAAGTTAAAGAAAGGAAAGTGGAGTGATAAAATATTTTATGAAATGCAATAAATACGAAAAAACTTGCATAAAAAAGAAATATCACAGGCAGAACAAGTAGAAAAGAGTAAGACGATAGATTTAATGTCAAATATATCAGTGATTATATCACATACACATGGCTTAGTAGAATTGTAAAGTAGTGCAATGGCTTGGGAAAATTTTTTCACAGTTTCTTATGTAAAATTAAATATACATCTATTCTCTGACCCTGAAATTATACCCCACTGAATTTTTCCTAAGAAAAATAAGAATGTATGTACATATAAATGCTTATGGAATTTTTATTCATTATATATGAAGACTGGAAACAATTCAACTGTATATCACCAAAAAAAAAAAGAACCAGTCATACAATATAACACTACTCAGCAATAAAAAAAAAAACTTATAAATGGTAAGCATGTATCATGCAAAATAAAGGAAACCATACACACAAAAGTTTACATGCTGTATGATTCATTTATATGAAGTACATATCCAGTCTATGGAGTTAGAGCTCAGAAAAATGGTTGTCTATGGGAGTAGAGACTGCCTGGAATGTGACCCAGGGAACTTTCTGGAAAGACGGAAATATTCTATATTTTGATTGAGTGGTTTGTATGAGTATATACTTTTTTAAAGTTATCATATTATAGATAAGATATATGTATAGGTCTCACTGTAGGAAAATTTCACTTTAGTAAAAAAATTAAAAGCAAGCAAAAAACGAAAGTATACCCACAAAGATAAACAGACTCAATATTCTAATTTTTAAAAATTATCAAACTGTATAAAACAATCCAAAATAAATGCTGCATATAAGACATAAAGATACATAAAGGAACAAAATAACGTTGAAAGTAAAAGAATGGAAAAAAGCTATTCCATGCAAATACTAATCCAATGAAAACTAGTGCATATAAATTAATACCAGAAAACATAGAGTGTAAGGAAAGAAGCATTACTAGGAATAATCCTTCACATTCCTCCACAAAGAAGATTAAAACAAAACTCTAGGCCAGGTGCGGTGACTCACACCTGAAATCCTAGCACTTTGGGAGGCCTAGGTGGGCAGATCACCTTAGGTCTCGAGTTCAAGACCAGCCTGGTCAACATGGCGAAACCTTGTCTCTACTAAAAATACAAAAATTAGCTGAGCGTGGTGGCACACACCTGTAATCTCAGCTACTCTGGAGACTGAGGCAGGAGAATTGCTTAAAGCCGGGAGGCAGAGGTTGCAGTGAGTCAAGATCACGCCAGCCTGGGCAACAGAGTGAGACGCTGCCTCAAAAAAAATTAAAAAAAAGAAACTCTATGCATCTAATAATGTACCTTCAAAATATATACAGCAAAAAATGCAAGACTATACACGGAAGCTGAATTATCACAATGGGAGATATATATATGTATATACACACACACACACACACACACACACACACATATACACATATATATATATATATTTGTTTTTGTTTTTTGTATTTTTGTTTTTTTTTTTTTTGAGATGGAGTCTCGCTCTGTCTCCCAGGCTGGAATGCAGTGGCGTGATCTCGGCTCACTGCAACCTCCATCTCCTGGGTTCAAGCGATTCTCCTGCCTCAACCTCCTGAGTAGCTGGGATTACAGGCATGCACCATCATGCCCAGCTAATTTTTGTATTTTTCATAGAGATGGGGTTTTACCATATTGGCCAGGCTGGTCTTGAACTCTTGACCTCGTGATCCACCCGCCTTGGCCTCCCACCTTAGTCTCCCCACCCACCTTGGCCTCCCACCACGCCAGGCCCATAATGGGAGATATTAACAATCCCATCTTAGTGACAGAAAGAAAAATCATACCAAAAATGTCTATAAGATTATAAAAGATTTGGACGCTTATAACTAATCTGACCTAATTGACCAAATATAAAACAATGCACCAACAACTGCAGAATGTACATTCTTTATCAAGTGATATGGTTTGGCCATGTGTCCCCATGCAAGTCTCATGTTGAATTGTAATCCCTACATGTCAGGGGAGGGGCCTAGTGGGAGGTGATTGGCTCATGGGGGTGGATTTCCCCCTTGCTTTCTCATGATAGTGAGTGGGTTCTCATGAGATCTGATGGTTTAAAAGTGCAGCACCTTCCCGTTCTCTCTCTCTCTCTCTCTCTGTCTCTCTCTCTCTCTCTCTCTCTCCTGCCACCATGGTAAGATGTGCCTTGCTTCCCCTTCACCTTCCGCCATGATTTTAAGTTTCCTGAGGCTTCCCCAGCCATGCAGAACTGAGTCAATTAAACCTCTTTTTTTAATAAATTACCCAGTCTCAGGTAGTTCTTTATAGCAGTGTGAAAATTGACTAATACATCAAGGAAATGTTGAGTAGTTATCAAAAACTGACCATATGCAAGTCTATAAAGTAAGCTGCAACAAATGTCAAAGGATTTTAATCAGAGAGAATTTCTTCACTGACTATAAAAAACTAGAAATTAATAACAGCAAAATCACTATAAAATCACCTTATGTCTAGAAATTAAGTAATATTCCCTAAAAAAATGAAATCAGAATTTTATATAATAGCAGTGGGAGTCTAAATTGGTTTCATTACTTTTGAAAACTGGCAGTATCTAATTAAATGGAAATCATACGTATCCATGGATGTAGTAATTCCACTCGTAAGAATACACTCAACAGAAATATTTATGTTCACCAAAACACATATACAAAGATGTTTACAGCCACACTATTTGAAATAGCCTGAAACTGGTTAATATTTCTCTCAAATCATCATCAAGACATCAGAATGAATAATAATGACATATTCATAATATTTATTCAATGTATTAACACATGAAAATTGACTACAGATATATGTAATGATGTGGGTAATTATTAATTTTAAGTGAATATGACACAATGTACATATTTTGTCATCCTGTAGATAACAACTTTATCTCCATAAATTGTATAGATGGATATCAGGATAGTAATTACCTTTGGGCAGATAGGGAATTGTTAATGACTACAAGAGGTCAAAAAGGAGGCTACTAAGCTGCCAGTGATGCTCTATTTCCTGACCTAGGTTATAGTTAGCCAATGTGTTCGTTTTGTGAAAACTGATCAAGCTTTACACCTAATTTATGCAGCTTTCTGTAAGTATATATTATTTAAACTACAGAATCTACTTAAAAGCTTGAGACAAACTCTTTTAGATACCTTCACTCATGGTGAATGGTCCCTTCTTTGATGACTTGATTCACCATTTTGAAAAGAAAACTCAAAGGTAATTTTGATGCCATGTGATGAATAAAGTAGGTTATTAAGCCAAGGAAGAAGAAAGGGTTGTCTGACCAAACAGGACACACGGCTGTAACATAATGGGAATGATGCTCTTATGAGACTGAGAAACTGATCTTAATAATAACATGTCATAGGAGGATTTCCAAAAATTTTAAACAATGGAAAACTGGGAGGAAGAAGAATGACTATTTGAATTTCAGCACTTGTTTGTATGAAATCATACTATTTGTTCGCATAGGTGTGTAAGCATTTATTAAATAGTGCTTTCCTACTATATTTTTACTACCTCAGCACTCCGGTGAAGTAAGTATTATAATTACTTTGTGAAAGCAGGCATTATTATCCTGCCATTTTTATTTAATTTTTTGAAAGAGAAAGATAGAGGAGGATAGGAGAATCTAGACGGTGATTTATTTACCAAGGTTACACACAGTGGGAATATGCTAGAGGCAGAATTTGTCCAAGGTCTTTCAATTCCTGCCCACTTTCCATTCCTGTGCATCCTGGAGAGTAACAAGAGAATCTGTATCTATTTTTCTTCTTTGAGCTGTTTCCTTATCTACACTACCCTTTTATACAACAAAGCATGTCGAGCTTCTGATTTTATTTGAAAAATACATGATTTTTGTACTTGTAGAGCAGAAATTTCAGTGTTACAAAATCTAACAATTTTGAATCTAGGTTTGTGTCATTTGCACAATAAGGACAATGAGAAAAAAATAAAATCAATAAAACAACACTTATCTTTATGATCATCTCCAATACTTTATAAAGTCAAGATTTTTATTTTGGGGTGAGTTTATCTGATTCCATTGTTTTGTTATGCATATTATGCAGCTATTAAAACTCAGAGTTCCTCTGTTCAAGTTTGCTATTATGTTTACTAGTGTTTGAATGCTATCCCAAGCAATTCCTGAGGACTTGCTGTCCTCAGAGAATTAACTTGGAGCATAGAATTATAGCTTGTCTTCCTGTACATGCATTTTACACAGTAGGTGGCCAAGAAATATTTTTAGAATGCATTAATAACTGAATCATTAGTGACATGAGGCACTCTGATTTGGGGAGAGGCTCAGAGCATCCTGTACCTCACAATTATACTTCAGACAAAAGATATTTTCTCTGCCCTTTGTGACAACTTATGCAATTGTTGTGTTCGGGCAATGTGAGATACAGTCCTGCTACTACACATTCAGATATATGTGGGTGATTCTCATTTTTAGTGTTAATTTGAGCTTTGTAACTTTTTGATGTTTCCAGTTTATTTTTTATTATGAAGAGTACACACAGCCTTATGGAAGACAATAGCTAGTAGATATAACCAGAGCCAAATTAAACTTCTGCTGATCTATTTCAGAAAATAATGTTATCTTGGATTTCCTCTGACAGGTGGAAGACAATTATTATTCTTTGTCCATCTTTCTTGTCCCATGTTTGCAGTTGAATGTAAGACAAAGAAGGTACATATATTTATATGCAAAGAGTGCGTGACTAAACATATTCTACATAATTTAGAAATTTCTTATATTTCCAACATTTTGTTTTTCTCTAATTTCAGTCTTTCCATCTCAACAGGAAAGTGATGGCCAATTTGAAGAGTTGTAAAGATAGTATTTACAAAGCTATCTGGGAGCTAAAAGTGGAACTAATGTATGAAACCAAAAATGCTCTTACCATACAACCCAGCAATCATATACTCTTGAGCATTTATCCCAGAAAAATAGAAACATACAATCATGAAGAACCCTGTAAGTGAATGTTCACAGAAGCTGCATTCCTAGAAAACAGACCAAGGCGGAGAATAGACATGGGAACAGAGAGTCAGGGGCAAATGGAGAAACCTGTCTATTTCTGCCATATGCAAATACTTTCTTCTTGCATTTCTCAGGCAAAATTTTTCTTTTAATAGTAGTATTTATTTTTCTGAAATTTTCACATTTTTTCAGTTGTCTATGTAGGCTTCTGCCTAATTGGTCCTAGGATAAGTATTATTCTATTTGTTGTAAAGATGTATTGTAGTTTTTGATCAGTAAACAAACACTATGTAAACTGGATATATTTTATTTCTTAAATTTAATTAAAAGCATAGTACTGTGGTAAGTCCTGCTAGAGATACACTTAGCAATAGAGAGAGGGAGATTTCCCTTACCTCAAAGTTATTCTTAGTCCTGTGCAGGAGACAGAAATGCTTACAAAAAGACACCAAGTGCATGGTACAAAGTGAAAGGAAGGGAGTGCTGTGTCTTTAACCAGATGTAAAATTCCAGGTTGAAATATTGACCTGATGATGCATGTAGCTTTAAAATTCCATCAGAGTTGAGCAAATGTTGGAAGGGGATGGTGAAATGAGAGATGTGATACTTCTGAATCTCATCCCAGGAATGTAGTTAATGGAGTCCTGAGATGGCTTTGCATTTCTGAGGCAAATTAGGTTTTCTTCCACTTTCCATCATCTTCCTTCAGCAATGCAAGATGGTATTTTTGCAGTCACCTATTTCCCTCTTGCTTTCTCATGTTGCAACTATCTGGACTACATCAATCTTTCAGCCTTAATTCCTGACCAAATCTTCTACTCTTTCCCTGCCATATCACAGCAATTGAAGAGAAACAAACTTAAAATTTGAGTATTGTTTTTAACAAAGTAGAAAAGATTATGTATATCATCTATCAATTTTGAAATGCCGGCCACATAGGACATCAATGTGACATGAAAGCACACTTTTTCATCTAAATTACATTTTTTTGTACAGAAGGAAAGATCCAACTGAGATTGTTCTGAATAAAATAAATATACTATAATCAACTTTGCAGTATTTCCATCTGTGAAAATGAAAATAGATCTGCATAGCCTTTGAAATATTTATTTGGTTTTTTTCTTCAAAACTGTTTTTTCCTTGCATTTGATTGCCACCAGCAAATATAAAAAGTGATAACTTTTTCTAAAGTCTGGAACTAAACAATTCTTATTAAGTAGCAAGAATCTCAGTCATTGTTCTTTGTATTCACTCTGCACAACGACTTTTAATTTGCCTCGCTGTTATGTTAAAATAAAAGAAAAAAATCTGACTTATAAGTGGCATAATTTGCTCAGCTTTACAAAAATTGTTTCATTTAAATAATTTACAAAACAAAGATGTCCAAAACAGTTCAGATTGTACTAATCTTCAAAACAGATTTGCATTGAAATCTAATCTTAAAAAAAATCCTATCTAAACAGTACATATATTTTGAGTCTATTCGTCTTTAACAAAAGACAGTGAATTTTTTATCACCTTATCTCCAAAGAACACCACCACTACTCTGCATTATAAAAGCATGTTTATCTTGAATGTTTGTATATATTTCATCGCATTTTATCCTAACTCAGTGGTAGTAGAAATCTGTCTTGCAGATGAAGAATTAAGACAAATGATTTTGTCTGAAGTGACATCTGTACAAGGAGCTATGCACGAACCTAAAACCCAAACATCTAGCCCAGCTCTCTCACAGTGGCCACACTGCTGAAGTAGCCAACATACCACGTGCAGTAGAGGGTTGAAAGCTTTTGTCTCCCTTCTGTAATTCCAGCAGCTGCTAGTCACTGCTGTTCTGAGCATGGTTGCTTCGGGGATGCTTTACAATTAGAAACTGAGGAAGTAACTAGAAAGGGGTGTGGCTTATTTATTTTCTGGAGAAGGAGGAAATGGAGATGATTCCTCCTATTGGTATGCTAAATTTTTCACTACCAGAAGTCAAACTTTTTATTACAAAATGACAATTTTCTAAAGGAAATGAATAGCTCTTTTCATTCTGCATATTGACAAAAACTCGTGGGGAAAAAAAGATAACTCAGAGTAGTGTTAGTGTGCTTCAGATACTGGATACGTTAGGACAAAGATACAGAGAAGAGAAACGCAAGTGAGAGACAGAAAGCCAGTGGCCAATGAGGAGGCCCCAGGGATGGGCTTAAAGAAAATGGGGAACTTACAAAGATTTGCCACAAAGGCTAGAAAATACTTACAGATGAAGTCATTGCAGAAGTCTGCAAGCCCTCTGAAACCCAACAGAAGCAGCAGCAAGAAGGGTAAGGCTGAGGCAAGACCTGTTTGTTATTAACTTAGAAATGAGGAAGAATAGGGAGATTTATGTCTACTACCAAAGAGCAGTATCTGCAAACTTGTCCACTAAAATGTTTAATGAATCCTTCTGTAACAGTCCATTGTGCTCGATTGTTCCGTTTTTGTTACAAATCCCAAAGAAGTAACCTCAATCTGCTATCCTTTGAGAAACTGCTGATTCTTGGTGGCCTCTGAAATGAAGAAGCCACAGACATATTTCAAGGAAGGGAAGCAGAAAGTAACATCAATTCCAGTGTTTTTAGAACTGAATGACTTTGGGGATAGCTTGGTTGCAAACTCCAGGCTCCTTTATCTCTTTAGTCTCAAACTAGGAAGAAAAACCTGTTCTCCCTGACTGCATTCCTTTTCAGAAATTTCCCTGTGTCATACCCAGATGGTGCCCTTTGAACTTAAAAGCTAAAGAACTTTGTTCCCCACCGTAAATCGTCCCCACGGCCATGTTGCTTTTCCATTTAGCCGCCAAGCTGGGAGAATTGGCAGTTCTACCGGACAATTAGCACTTTGAAATATTATACCACCACATATGTAACAGGTTAGCACAGTGCCTGGACCCAGAGAGCACTCTGCAAATGTTAGTGCTTCCTTTCCTGTGGGCATGGGAGTAAGCAAGATCTACTTACCCTCCTACCACTGACACACAGGAAAAGGAAAGTAGGAAAGTTGGTGTTTGGTGTCCTAAAAAGGAATAGATACAAAAGTAAAAATATATATTAAAAAAAGATGTTACTGGACCCTTATTTTAAAACTTACTTTTAGATGTATAGATCATTAAGCAAAACCTGAAAAAATCAGAGAGAAAAATAAACAACAAGAAATGAAATATTAATATTGAAATGCCTGAGGGCAATCGCCTTTATCTCTGGTTGGTAAAACAACCCCCAATGTAAAAGCTCACAGTCCACGGCATTACAGAAAAACCAAAGACCTAAAAGTGGACTGTCTCTATTAATAATTAGTGATGGTTTTAAGTTTTTTTTCCTAGCACTTCAGTACAACCCAAAATGTTATCACCTAGAAGAAAGAAGCAATAGCAGGCCTGTTATTTATACAATCTGTGAAAATAAGCACTAACCCACTCCTCTAGTCCCTGAATAAAATCAGACATATGGTGGGTATTAAAAAGCAAATGTAGTCTATCACAATTTCCTAAATTTTTGTTTGTCTTTTCATGAAAACTCTCACTTAAAGGTCATTTCTCTGTTTCAGTTTTCCTTTAAGAGATAAATTCTCTAAAACACTCTTCACCCTTTCAAAAATCCTTAAACCCAGAAGAACATGGCTCCTAAAAGTATTCAGATTAACTTAGGAGTAATAGGGCAATTTAGCTAGCCAAGAAGTAAGTGGAGACTTTCTAGCTATTCCAATAATTGTTTCCTGACCAGAAAAGGGAATAACCTATAGCTTTGCCCTGAGTTAATAAATTAAGACAAATTTAAGCCAATGTTTAAGTGAGACATCCATAATGTAGACTGCTAAACAGAAAAATAACATAGAATTTAGTTGAGATTTCCAAGTTTGATTAAAAGTATACTAAATCAGGAATCAGAAGATGAGTATGAATGAGTCTTAGATCTGTGAACTTGAAGTGTGTCTTTCTGTTTTTCAATTTTCTCATCGATAACATAGGATAATAGAAATTATGAGCTTCTGTTTTTATGTGAGAAAGAATTGTGTAACTCTAATTGGATCTACATTATTATTCCATCAGATGGCATTCATTTAACAAATATATTTTCAATGCTCATTCCCCCAAAAAAGATTTTATTCATTTGAAAGTTTATCATTATATATATCCAAAATCTGTGGTGTATTTGGAAGGAATAAGAAGGGTTAAATCTCAGGTATTACAAAGCCCCCTTTATTCCTCTGACCTTGCAACCCTTAGTTCCGGAAGCAATGCTTAGCCTCTCCTCAAAGAATGCTTGATCTCACTTGGGGAAGGGGAAAAGATGCTTCTAAATTTAGTCTAAGTGGATTTAACATATGGCATCATACCTTCCTGGGTCAAGAGGTCCCAGGGTTTCTGGAAAACTGGAAAACAGATTTTACTGGGTGGTGGAAATTGGAGAGGGTAGGCCATTCAGCTACTTGAAGAAAAACAGTGACTTGAGGATTTATTTTTCCAAGCTAAATTTCGAAAAGAAAGCTATGCCCTGATGCTAAAAGGCATCTTGATTTAGGCTTTTGAGATATTTCCCTGATGGCTCTAGGATATATTAAATTATTTGACATCTGGTCCATGTGGACTCTGCTCCAATGGAGTTAAGTCAGGCTTCGACCTGCCAAATTATCCTTATTGGATTTGAGGATAAAAATAAATAGAAACATAAGGAGGGTTAGAATAGAGGTTTTCTTTTAAAAAGCCAAATGGTCAAAATCTATGAAAAGGCAAAAGAGGAAATAATAAGGAAAAAATAGTAAAATCTAATAAGACTTCTAAATTAGTAACAATTTTTAATGAAGAATGTGACTCAAATCTGAACATTTTCTTAATAACAAAGTCATCCCATTACTTTTAAGCGAGCATGGCTGGCACTGTATTAGCAAAAGATAGCGATGTGTATTTCTGTGAACCATTAAATAGCCATGAATGAGAAACAGCTATGATCTTCCATATTTCCTTATTGCTTAAGTAAGCTATAAAGATTCAAAAGACACAGAATCTGCTCTTATGTCTGTCATGGGATATCCATAATTACTAACTTTCCTATATAAGTTTTTTGTTTTAATTTTTTTTCCCTAGTTGCACCAAAGGCATAAAAAGAGGCCAGGAAACTAACAGTTAGAGACAGAGATGGAAAGGTGTAAAATCCAAAAAGAAGGTGCATATTTGGGTCTGTGCATTGAAAACGACTGCAGTGGCTGCCGTTCTAAACTATGTGAATAGTGCCATCTAATGCATTACTTAAAATCAGCAAGTATTTTGGGAACTTAACATTGGGAAACAAGAGAAATGGAAAATAACCACCTAATTAGAAATGCCGTCATCAGGATTTTACTTCAAATTACGTTGAATGAAGTATTTAAATGAATCATGGTTCTTGGGTCTTATTATTATTTTTTAGCACACCAACTGAATTTATTTACAGAATACCTGCCACACTATCTTTTCTCATTTTTAAATAATAGATTTTTTTTTTAACCAGTACTGTGTAGGAAATAGTATTTAAATTCAGAAATTTGTTAATTTAGGATTATTTTGTAGCTTGGAGAAAATAAGTAATCAAAGTCTAGACCTAGAAAATATCCAACAATTTGTCTTTACTCAACATTGGATGTGATTAAAATGTCAGATGTTCTGTTAGAAGCTATCAATCCTGTATTCACCATGGCCATTTTCATTGCTTCAAGACTAGAAAAATTTTGAAAACCTGTTTATAATGAATGAGGTAGAAGAAGCATATCTCACACATACACACACGCAGGCACACATACACAATAACAAGACTTCCTCTTGTCTTCATATAAGGAATATTTGGGAAAGAAATAGTTAAAAATGTATGAAACACTTCTTATATTGGGATTTTGTTAAATGGCTTTACTAAAACTTCAAATGAGTCTGGCACAAACATTTATATAAAATTTATAAGCAAGTTGAAGTAGTCCTGTATTCTTTTGGTTTCACTGCCAGGAAATAGCTGATGGTTATCTTGATGCGACAATTCCCACCCCAGAGAAACTGAAAATTCTATTTATGAAGAAAGGATGCGTAGTGGGTCAAAGGAGAGATGGTGCAGTAAATTTGATAAGTTTGGAGAAAGAGTACTGCTACAAACTTCCCCAGCTTTGGCTGAGATCTATACTTCACGTTAGCTGAAGATATGTCAAGGTCAAGGATTTAGAGGCAGTTGTCTACATCGACAGTGGTAGAAAGTTTAGAAAATGCTAGTATTTCTGCGTTCATTAATTCACTCAGTTTGCTGAGCTGAGAACTGTGAGAGATGCAGAGATCAATGAGATGGTATTTCTATGTTTCGAAACTTTCACAGCAGTAGGAGAAAGAAGATATCTTCACAAACACAACACATATAACAGAATTTGAAAAGGGTACGGAGCTTAGCAGAACAGGTGTTCAATAATTATTTTTTGAATATTTGAATGTGTAGGTAATTGTTTGGATAAATGAATACATGAATATATGATGGAGTGCCATAAGAGAGGTCATGGGGGTTCAGAGAAAAGACAAATTACTTATAATTTTGATGAGATGGGAAATGGAAAACGGATACAGGAGATTAAGATAAAACATAAGGTAGAGTTGGTGTTTGTGCAACATTGAATAATTGGTAATACTAGCTCAGGTAAGGATGAGAGTAAGGAAGGTCAGTGTAGACAGAAGAAATAAGAAAGGCTCAGAAACAGGAATTTATTTGAAATAATTTTATTTCTGTTTGCCTGAGTGACAGATGATATTTTTAAAAGAGAAAAACCACAACTACACACCATTTACAAAAATTAAAATAGATCAATGACCTAAATACAAAAGCTGACAGCTATCAAACACATAGAAGAAAATGTAGGAGCAAATCTTCAAAGCATTGGATTTGACAATGGATTCTTAGATATGACAACATACGCATGAACAACAAATAGATAAATTGGACTACAGCAAAATTAAAGACTTTTGTGAATCAAAGGACATTAATAAGAAAGTGAAAAGAACCTACGGAAGGCAGGGAAATATTTGTAAATAATATATCGGACAAAAGTCTGGTATCTAGAATATACAAATCACTTAGAGTTCAATAACAAAAAAAAAAGGGAAAGGAGTTAAATAAATATCTCTCCAAGGTACATAAAAAGATGCTCAAGATCATTAGCCATTAAATAAATGCAAATTAAAACCGAAATGACATGCCACTTCATACCCACTAAAATGGCTATAAAAATAAATATATGTTGGCAAGAATGTGGAGAAATTGGCACCCTTGTACATTGCTGGAGGGAATGTAAAACCTTTGAGTTGTTGTTAAAAAAGTAGCTTGGTGGTTTCTCAAAAAAGTAAACGTAGAATTGCCCTATGACCCAGCAATCCCATTCCTACTTATATATGCAAAAGATACAAAGCAAGTACTCAAATACATGTACATGCATGTTCATACCAGCTCTATTCACAATAGCCAAAAAGTGGAAATGACCTAAATGTCGATCAATGGATGAATGTTTAAACAAAATGTGGCATATCTATGTAGTGGAATATTGTTTGGCCATAAAAAGAAATGAAGTTACTGATACATCAGTAAAACTGGAAACATTATGCCCTGCATCAAAAAGTCAGACAAAGGTCAATAATTTGACCTGCATAATGACTTAAACAGTCAAAACTGTATAATTTCATCTATATGAAATATCTAGAATAGATAAATCCATAGAGAGAGAAAACATATTGGTGATTGTCAGTGGCTGGGGAGGAGTAAATGGGGAGTGATAAAGTTTGGATGTCTGTCCCCTCCAAATCTCATGTTGAAATGTAATCCACAGTGTTGGAGATGGGGCCTGGTGGGAGGTGTTCAGGTCATGGGGGCATATCCCTCATGAATGCCTTAGCAACATCCCGGTGGTGATGAGTGAGTTCTCGCTCTGAGTTCATGGGACATCTGGTTATTTAAAAGAGTCTGGGATCTCCTGCTTCTCTCTCTTCCTCCTGCTCCCAACTTGTGATGTGCCTGATCCCCCTTCACCTTCCACCATGAGTGAAAGCTTCCTGAGGCCTCACCAGAAGGAGATGCTGGCACCATGCTTCTTACACAGCCTGCAGAACCATGAGCCAATTAAACCTCTTTTCTTTATAAATTACCCAGCCTCAGGTATTTCTTCATAGCAAAGCAAAAACAGGCTAACACAGGGAGTAACTGCTCAGTAAGTATGGTTTTCCTTTCGGGGTGATGAAAATGTTTTGCAACTAGAGACAGGTGGTTGAACAACATGTGACTGTACCAAATGCCACTGAATTGTTAACTTCAAACTGGTAAGTTTTATGTTATGTGAATTGCACCTTGATTAAAAAAATAAAGAAGAGGGCAAAATTTAAAATCGAAGGTAAGTTGGATAACTTTTTATTCACTGCCAATAAGACGAACATGAAAGGGAGAGTCACTCACTATAGGTTGTTGGTTAAAAGAGTGACATGGTCACCTCTATGCTGGGGGAGGTTTGAAGCAGCTGCAATGTGTGGCAGAGAGTGGATGAAGTGACAGGGAGCAAAGCTACCTTTTCACAATTTAAAAACTAGTTCTGCAGAGGTCTATAAAGGTCCAAGCTATGCTGGTAGCTGCAACAGGCATGGAAAGGCTAGACTGAATGTCAGAAGTTAAGAAAGTCGTGTGACATACTCAAACCAATCCATCTAATCTATCTACAGTGGGGGTATAATTTGCAGAGAATGACTCATTATTTTTTTGTATAGTTGAATAATATTGCCTAAATTGACAGAAAAATGCAATTGGAATGGCTCTCACTGGAAAGCTGTGTAGAGGGTTATTCCATTCATTCATGTGCGTGAGGCATATGATAGAGCAATCACAACTGTAATCATATTTTACTATGCACCTCTGAAAGTTTCCATCATTATACTCAATTTCTTCTCTCATGGTGAAGAACAAAAGTATTCTCTGAGCAAATATTTGTTGAATATACACAGTATGCACAGTGATAGACACAGTTCAAAGAGGGGGAAAAGTTAGGCTTACACTCTAGTGGAAGATAAGTCAACAGGAAATAATAATGTAATTGAGGGGAAGGATGAGGGTAAGTTCAGTAAACACCAGATATGGGAAAAGACAGCTGAACCATCTGGGATATGAGCAGAGGCAGGTGGTGGGCAGGGGAATGGGAGTGGGAAATGGGTTTGGGCTCTGGGAAGTCTTCTGCAGAGGAAGTCACAGCTGAGACCTAGAGGACAAGACCTATTAAACAGAGTAGGGCAGGGTTGGGAGCAGAGGAACCTCCGTGATTTCTGTTCAAGTACCTGAGTTAGCGAGAGAAGTGTTTCTGTAGCAGGAGCCTGCTACCAATGGAGAAAGAAACAAGTGTCTTTACCTAAAAACTGGCAGGCAGGTTTTATCCTGCAGGTGGCAGAACTTACATTTATGTCAGCTAGAAATGACAGTATGCCATTTGGGGGCCTTACAGCTGCCTGGACTTGGGCTGTCATCAAAGGTAACTAGACTGGGTGCCTGATACTGGTGAGCCCTCACTTGTAACTGTCCCATAAAAACTCCTCCTGATTTACACTTGACTTACATTCACATCCACATCCCAACTCTTTAGTTCTAATTACGTAAGGATTTTTATATGGTTCCTTTCAATGGTTCTATCTAATTGGGTTTCTATCTTTTCACTATATTGGATTGCTTTTAATGTTTACATTAATGAATAATGTTTTTGCATATTTATTTTTTTCCTCTTATATTTTGCTTTTAAATGAGGAATAGGAAGCAGAATGATGTTGAATATGATGAACAGCTTTCAGTTCACACAAATTAATCACTTCCTGCCTACCGGTTGTTTTTTTCTCCACCAAGTCCCCACACAGCATAGTAATCCTATTAGAAAAAATAATGTTATTTTGAAAAATATCTAAATGCCTTCTTTTAGAAAAAGACTCAAATAACTCTTTATTTCTAGGGCAGACTTTATGCCAAGTCTCTGATAACTTTTCCAGTCAGTTTCCAAGGAACTCTCCATTTCACTGTGGGCTATGAACCTGGATTTTCTAGTTTTAACTATATATTTCCTTCACTACTTACATAAAATATAAGTTGGTGGAAATCACCATATCCTAGCTATGCTCTACATGTGGGTTATGGATGATTCATTTGCTATTATTTTGATATGTATGGCTTTTCAGAGAAGGTGTAGGAAGATTCAGATTCAGGTGGCCACCAATAGCCTATGAGAACCTACACATTCTTAAAAATATGATACAACTTGAATTCTAAGTTCTAAAACTGAATTGAGTGGGGAATGTTTTAAGAATTATGAATTTCTTTACAAATGTTTTCAAGTAAGAAACATTAAACCAAAGTATTTATTTCAAAACTACTGTAAGTTCTATGTTGACTGTGGTGGTGGCTACAAATCATTACTGTAGCATAGATTTTTAAGATTATTGACCAGCTGCTGTAATGGGTTAACTTAGAAATAAGCAGCCATTTTTACTTTTTGAGTAGAAATTTTATTTTTTGTATGTACCTCCTAAAGGTGAGAACTTACCCCAACGACAATAAAAATTGAAGAAAATATATTTCTGATGGTTTGAAAAGTAACTCTCACCAACTTTGTTTTTCTCAATACCTTTGCTTTCCCTAGCCTATCCTCTTCCCCATTCTCTTTCTGTCTTAATTCTGTAAAAGATCCTTACTTCTTCCCTCTCAATCATTATATCTCTCTCTTATAGATATTAGAAATCCTAGCTGGGGAATTGTTCATTCCCATGGAGTGTAATCACATTTTTTTTTAGATTTGAAAGTTGTTCTCAATCATAAAATGATTAATAAGGCCTGCTATATTAAGAATTTATGGCTATGATCAAATTTTACATGTTTGGAATCAAAAACATAAATGCAAAATAGCAGACAGTGACTTCTGTACCCATCATCTGTAAGGAAATCACTTCCATTACACAAACATTCTCACTAAAAAAAAAACTTACATTCTAAATAATTACTTAGTTACATTTCTGTTAGATGTTTGGATATTCTTTTAATATCTTCTACTTTTGACTAATGGTCTTGGGGGGGAAATAACTTGATTCTTCTCGTCTCATTTTAGACAGTGCTAAACAGAGTTCATGCCACTTGGCTATAGACTTAAGAGAGATACTTACAAAGAACAATAGACCTTGTCACATTTCAGCATTACAAAAGGTAGGGAGAAAAATAAGGGAAGGTTCAATTCTTCCTGCCTTTATTCATCAGGCTGATTCTTTCTTTGTGATAACTGTTCTTGTAGCTCCTTTTTTGCCTCCCCAGTTGGTCAATTCTTTCCCCAAAATTTTGTCTATGCAGTAACAATTACAACCCAAAAGCTATCAGCTCACCGTCATCTTCCTGCAGGGTTCTCTTAGCTCTGGTCTATTTGGGGGAAAGAGAAGATAGTTCTGTTTCCTACTGAGTCATTTCTATTCTGCACTTCTTTCCTAACCCCATCAGAGACTTCTACCCCTTGGCTAGCAATCACCTCCACCCATTCACACCCCCAAAAATAATTAAATTAAGGTTATGTATAACATTTTTTACTGGAGAATTGAAAAAAACACTTAAACTATTAAACATTCTATCCTCAAAATTCTTTTCACCCTCCCTATCTCGAGAGGCTGTTTCCTGAGTGTCCTCTCTACTTGGGCAAACTCCTGCCTTATTGCAAGGCCTCATCTGTCCTTCTCACTTCCAGGCAGCTCCCCGCTGTCTACTTTCTTTTTATTTTGTTTAAAGCCAATTTACCAATCTTCTGTTTTGCTGTCTCCTTCCAAATCCTATACGCATTAACTCCCAAGGTTAGACCGTTAACGTATTTTCTTAAACAAAAGACTCCAGAGAAAAATTATGCCACCTCCTTAGGGGCAAAGGCAGTTATGTTATTTGTAGTTTTAACTAGCATTTTTTTTCTCTCTGTTACTTTATGTTATTCAACAACGAATGTAGTCCTTTACATCAGGGTCATCATAACCAAAGACTCAATGAATACCCTTAAGCTTTAGAAGTGCTTTTGCAAGAGAAGAGATTTATAACAACCTAACTCGGGGTTATAGGAAATACAACAGTGATGAAAGAATTAAAATACTCATTTTCTGTTGCAATGTAATTCAGGGATTTTAAAAAGGCAACACTCTCTTTTTCCAGTTCCAAGGTGGAGAGGTGCAGAATCTTTAAGCAGACTGTGACTAAGTCATTAATGGAACAGTACACTAAATAAATTAAATAAGCAAATGGCTTGTAAAAGTACAAGGCAATCATGGTTATGATTAGAGAAGCTTAGGTGCAGAACACCCAGAGAGAGCGCTGACGGAAGTATTAAAGACTCCATATGTGGCCCACCTGGCTGGGGAAAAAAATCTGGAGAAACAGTCAAAGGAATAAATCAGAAAAGTAGATCAAAAAGAAACTTTGAGAGTAAGATCAATGTAAGTAAATTAAAAGACAAGAAAAAAACCTTTTATATAACATGACCAAGATTTTGAGGGAGCCAGCTATGTAAGATGACAATAGCTTTTTTTAAAAATACCCATTTGTATCAAGAGTCTATGTATTTCCCATGTATAATTAATTCGTGTATTTATAAGTTGTCTTAAAATGTAGCAGTCAATCAGTATGGATTCAAGGTGGCAAGCAACAGAAATCAACTCAACTTTAAGCAAAAAATAAAATAAAATTTACTAAAAGATATCCAATATCTCAAAGACTTGATCTGAGGGGAGGGCGCTGCAGAATGAGTTTCAGAAATGGGTACTACCCAGGGAGAGGAGGTGGCTAAAGACTTACCACTGAAAAGTGTGATTCGGATGCTCTTTTAGGAGCACCCCCAATGGGTACTCAAGTCTCCTCCGATGCTTCTACCACCACTCTGGAAAATTTCTCACCAGTCACTTTTCTTCTTGAGATTTAAAGTTCAAAGTCTCAGACAAGAACATTTCATGGGATGAGCCTATGTCACATGACTGGTTCTAAAGAGAGAAACAACCATGTCTCTTACCACAGCTCATATAGACTGTGCGTGTGTGTGTTGGGGGCCTGGGGAGGATTCCTCAAATACAGAAGCCCCTTCTCCTTACCCCCACCACCAAGTAAGACTCATCAAATAGCTTCCATGAAAACAGAATATTTGACAGTGCATTCAATTTAATTTAGTTGGATTGATGAATGGAAATAGCTAGAATTCAGTTTTCCTGTTTGATCTTCCATCACAAAACGAAGATGTAGGGTGATGGCTGGGGGAGGAGAAAATTGAGGTGGAGAGGGCTAATGGTAAAGGCTCTATAGTCCAAGATTTAAATCTCAGTTACAACATTTACTATCTTTGAACTTGGGTAAATCTATTACAGCTTCATATTGGTGATGTCAAAAACAAAAATAAAAATGCTGTTCACCTCATAGATTTATTCTGAGGATGAAATGAAAAAATGCATATCACTCCCTTAACGTGTTGCCTGGAATATGGGCAAGTGCTCGTAAAGTGTCAGCAACTATTACCACTTAGACTATGCAGCTCCACTTTCCTCCCACCGTGGTGCCAACACATGCATTACCAGAACAGCTACTTTGAATAAATGCCTAAATTTTTATATTCCTCTTTCTCCCAGAGCTGAGGAGAATCTTGACACCAGGCTTCTGTGTCCAGTGATCTTGACTGCTTTTTGGAGTTTGTCTAGTTACCCTTCTTTATCTTAAGACTCCATCTCCTCAACATATTATCTTGTGAATAAAAGAAATTCTGCCTTCATCTGTATTCTTGAGTTCCATATTTGGTTTAAAAGAAACACACCCCAACAGCCCTTTCTAAGACTAGCGCTTTGTTTTATCTTGTAAGCCATTTTGCCACCAATCTCAAGCATCCTAGTGACTGGATCCTACTACCATGACATCAGCTCAGAAGCCAGATGGACTTGGCTTTGAATCAACCTCTACTACTCATAAGTTGTGTGACCTTAGACAAGTTTGCTAACCTCTCCAGGACTCATTGACATCATCTGTATAATAAGGATGCTAGTGAATCTGGCACATTAAAAATGCCTTTGATTGTTATCTCAATAAGTGCACTTAACTATGAGTAGTCCGAAGCTTCTGTCAGGATACTGTAATGGAAAAGGCTCTATGGTGTGCTCTGATCAGAGGTTACAATAAGCTAATGGAAGATATAATGGTTAGTGACTCTGTAAGAAACTAAGATTAAGATCACTCCATTCAGGCACTTTATAAAATTATCATAAGACCAATGGAGAGAAAGCCCTCTTCCAACCTCAGCCAGCACCATGTGGATCATAATGGGAGATATAACAGCAAGATGACAGGAAAAAGACAACATCACAGTCAAACCCACACAGGATTGAAGCCCAGGCTCTCCCAGGCTTTGGGAAGTGTCCTCTCCAAAGAGATGGTCTCAAACCTGGCTAGACAATGGAATCATTTGAAGACTTTTTCAAAAACATCAATCTCCAAGCCCCATCATCAGAAGTCTAATGTGGAACTGCATTAACAGGGAAAATAAATATAATTTAAAATATAATTTTATATTAGAAAGGCAGAGAGAGAAGGAAACACTATCCAGGGAAGTTACTGATCGAGATCATCTAGATCATTTGCCCACTTCCTAGAAATACTCTGAAATCCATGCAGAAAGATAAAAACCCTAAACAAGTTCTTATGGGTTCTATTGTTGATGTGTTTCCAATAGCTCAAAACCTTTACAATTAAGAAACTCTTACTAGAGTTTAATCTAAATCCCTTCTATTGAAAGATAAGTTCCATTATTCTAGCTCACAGCCTGTTTAGCTCAGAGGATATAAGACTTGCCAGCAACACTCAGATGTTGCCCCTCTCTTGAAGTGTCACCCAAGTTTACATAAGGTGAGTTCCTTTCATGCGTAATGAAATTGTGTCACCATTTCTGCCAGGCTGTCCTAGGAATCAGCTCACGAGCCACTCAAAGCAGCATCCGTCTTGTCTCCTAAGCCAGGTTCTGTTGTGAGAGCAAGCATCTCTGTTCCAAGGGCCATCAGGTGGATGGGATGGCAGGACCCCACATTTTGGTTTCCACTCAGAGTAACCATTACACTGACCACAAGTCCCTGGTGGTAGCCTGACTTTATTAAACTTTTCTGCCAAGCCTGGGAAATGAGAAATGAGTCTTTGGCAATCTCCAGTCTGAATCAGTGCGCATTTAAGCCAAAGCATGAAATATAATAGCTACTGTTACTGAGCATCTAATAGATGCCAAAAATGTCATAACAATTAAAGGAGAAAATTTATGTACACAGCCTACTGCCAAGCACATAGTAATCTCTATAAATAGTGACTACTATAAGCATTACTGCTAATCCCAAAAGTGGCCTTGAAAGGGTGCCATGATTATCCTCATTTTACAAGGAGGAAATCAAGGTTCAGACAGCTTCCATAACTTGCCCAAGGTCATACAGTTTGTAAATGGCAGAGCTGCCATTAAACTCGGGGCAACGTTTTAACAACGCAGCCTTGCCCAGGATTTAGAGAATAAGGGCAGTTGCAACCGTTTGTGGTGGTTTCCCATGACTGGGAAGGAGAATGAATGGAGAGATCAGTGAATTACTTCCTTTTCTTTTGCATAAGATCAAAACCACTTAAAATTAATCCTGCAGTAGACTATTGGTTTTGGGTGTGTATGTGTGTAAGAAATACACATGAAATGTGATTCACTGGCTTAATGGTAATAGTATAGAGGGGCAGATGCTGAACTGAATTGAACTGAATTGTAGCCATAGCACAAATTGATCACATTCTCTTTGAATATCAATATCATTCATTTCAATTCTCAAAGTATTTTTTTTAAGGATGTATTATGTGTCTGATAGTGTGTGCATGTTCCTTAGAGGATTGAAAAAAAAATATATGGCAAAGTACCAGCACTTAGAAATCTCTGGTATGGTATAGTTAATACTTACTGTGAAACAAAGAGCCAAAGAATATAAGAAACTGTACAATAAAATGCTAAATTAAACATAAAATTAAATACCCAAATATATACTACATGATTTCAGGATGAATGACCTGAAGGGAAAAGAAAGAGGTGGACAGTTATCAAGGAAGGCTTCATGAAGGAAGAGCTGACTAGAGACAGGCGTTGAGGGATTTGAAGCAAAATGGAGAAAACGGTGTGAATTTCATTTTCTTCATTACGGGTCTCTTAGGTATCAGCCTGAGCAAAGCAATTAAGTCAAGAATTCGTTTATTCATTCATTAACCAAGCAAATGTAATAGGTGTTAGATTTCTGGTAGGGAGAGAAGTAAGCATGATATGTACAATGACAACGAAGAAGCTTACTTGGTAGAACAGAGAGTCTGATAGGAGTTGTTAGGAAACAGACAGAGAGAGCAAATATCTGGACACCCTGAGAGACAGAAGTCAGTGGCTCATGAGAAACTGTTCTAAAGTTTTGAAGAAGAGAAACATACAAGAAAAGTGGTATTAGAGAAAAATTAATCCAGAAGTGTACTCAGGATCCTTGGTGGCAGGTTAGTACACACATGCACACACATATATAATCTGCTTACTTGAAAAACTGGTTTGGCCATGCTAAATCTTCAAGAAAAACAGTATTTAAACATGGCAATGAATACACTCGCAGGCAAAAACGGTCCATAATCCCTGACTCTGGTTTTCAGTTGATATCAGATAGCCCCATTCTAGCCCCTTTCTAGGAAATTTTTTGTAATCCCATCATCAAACATAACGTAGATTGGGTTTTCCATTACCATTAAAAAGAAAATACCAAGAAGTTTTTCATCGGCACCCAGAAATCCATGTGGTTAAAGAGGGGATTTTTTTTTTCTCTTGGAGACATAAGGCAACGGGCCAAGAAAGGAAAATCCTTTCAATGCAACAAAGAAAAGTCAAACAGCTTGTTATGCTTCACTGCTAACAAAAAAAAAAGAAAAAAAAAAGGAGAGACCAAATCTTATTTTCCTACTGTCAGACAAAAGGTCTCAGTCTTTAAGGAATCTGTGACACTCAAGCTAATTAGAATAAATCTGTCCTAAATTGCAATTGGCTTCATTACATGATCAAAAAAAAAAAAAATCAGAAAAACTCTCTAGGGGAAAAATGTGAAAATTGCCAAAGAATGGCTTTAATTTTAGATTATCAGGAAGAATTTCACACAGCAGCAAACATAATTCCACTAAAGCTGCATGAAAATACTATCTACCTAAACAACTATAAATCTTTTCTTGCAAAATAACAGTAAATGCCATAGTTCTAATGAATAAAAATGAAGTTTAAATCTATATCCAGTACCAGTATTAGCTTGGCTGCTAACAGAGTAGGTCTAAATCTTAGTTTATGGCCATATTGCTCAGCTCCAGAGCCTGTGGATTTGTTTTTCCCATTATGAGTGCATCAAATATGAAAGCAACCTTCCCAACCATCAATCACTTAAAGAAAAGGAGATGTCTTAGCGGGGTGCAGTGGCTCATGCCTGTAACCCAGTGACTGGGGAGGCAGAGGGCAGGAGTTCAAGACCAGCCTGGGCAACATAGCAAGATCCTGTCTCTACAAAAGAAAAAATAAAGAAAAGGAGATGTCTTACTCTTAACCAAAACGCTGCCTATTGGCACACTAGATGTTTCAGCCTAGTAGAGGTGGGCTGGCTGAGACTTCAGAATGTGGCTGTAGCATCTGAGACCATATTGTTCTTTCCTGATGTTCCATAGTTATCGATAGGGACAGTGCCAGACATGAGAATGTGATTAGGAAAACAGTTCAGAAACGCTAGACAGAAAAATTTATTGTAGCCAACCTAACAACTACAGTGATTTCAGTAGTTTGGTTCTACAATGTCTGGAGAAATGAAAATTATCACTCTGAATAACCCCTAGCCAACTTTTACTAGCCATCCCTAGCTTGTTATACAGCTGCTCCTACAATTGCTCTTGTAAGAAGGTGACATCGAAGGCAACTATGGGTTGACAAACTAAAGAACTGGCTTTTGCTGTTTGCGACATTGATAGCAGTTGTGGGTAGAAAGGAATTTAGATGATCAGACATTACCACACCACATGCTTTTTCTAGTGCTGATATGCTGGCTGTCTCTTTGCTCTCTGAATGGTGACTGCAAGCCGATCACAAAATCTGATCTTTCTCTTACACAGTGTAGACAGTGTTGAGCATGTCCCCTCCCATGGTTCTAGGTTCTAGGTTTATCTACACTTAGGTGTGGCCATATCACTATGCTTTTGGCAAAACAATGTAGGCAGAAGTGATGGATGTCTTTTTAGTCTTATAATGAAATAAGACTGTGCCTTAAAACCATGAACATATCTGTTCCATGCTCTCTTTCTTTTTTCTTCTTGCTGCAACCCAGACAAGGCAGCAGTTCAGCATTGTGATTGCCCCAGAGGATGCCTGTATTAGTTCGTTTTTACACTGCTATAAAGTAATACCCGAGACTGGGTAAAGGAAAGAGGTTTAATTGACTCAGTTTCACATAGCTGAGGAGGCCTCAGGAAACTTACAATCATAGCAGAAGGGGAAGTAGGCACCAACCTATTCACAAGGCGGCAGGAGAGAAAGCATGAAGGAGGAACTGTCAAAAACTTATAAAACCATCAGATCTTATGAGAGCTCACTATCACGAGAATAGCAGGAGGGGAACCGCCCCCATGATCCAATCACCTCCCTCCCTGAAAATGTGGGGCTTACAATTCAAGATGAGATTTGGATGGGGACACAGAGCCAAACAATATCAATGCCGGAACATGAAATTAGCAGAAATCTAGATACCAAATTAACTTCAAGGAGTAGAGTCACCCTACTGACCTGCAACTATCCTCTGAGCAAGGAACCATCTTCTATATTCTTTAAGACTGTCTCTTGAAGTTTAGTTTTATCCCAAATAATATGCCCTATACAGCCTAGATATCCACATTTGTCAGTTAGTTAATTAACTTTATACTAATTTATTAATTAAAAACAGCTTTGAATATTCAATACCTTGCCATTCTGGACCAAAAATAAGCAAATTTCATTTGTACCTGTTAAACAAACTTACGTGAGCTGTGCTTTCCCAGTGATATATTTTCCTTGAGGCTGTTCCCTTCATCTGAATGACATCCTTGAACATCTGCAGTTGTTCCAAGTTATCATAATTATAAGTTTTGAGAGGAAAGCGTATATGGCAAAGCAATTTCTTATTTCGGTTGGAATTATAAGTGAGCTAGAATAGACCAGAATTTTAAAAATAATAATAAGGAGGTCCTTGCCCTTTGAAATATTAAAATGCTTTCGAAAAACTACAATCGTTTTTTAAAGGGAGATACTGGCCAGAGAACAGACAGATAACAAGATGAGACAGAATACACACACATATACACGCACACACACACACATATACACACACATATATATACACATACACACACATTTATACACAGATATACACACATACCCATATACACATACATATATGCACACATAAACACATATACACATATATATACACACACATATATAAGCACATATATACACACACAAATTTTATATATATACACACATACATGTATGTATATATGTATAGGTTAAGGCAGCATCTCAGATCAAGAAAAAAGATTAGGGGTTAATGGTGCTGGAATAACTAGTTCTCCATTTGGAAAAAGCAGCAAAAACCAATCTCTACCTCATTTGATATAGCAAAATTATTTCCAGACCAAAAAATGGCTTACATGAAAAAAATAAATAAATATCAGAGCATTTATCACAGGAAAGTGATGAAAATTTGGAAAATGTATACAGAAGATATCCATGTCTTTAAGACACCTAAAGTTCTTACAAGTTATTTAGAAAAAGAGGTACCAATAGAAACATAAATAAAGGATTAGAATAATCACATCATAGCATAATCAGTTAAAATCGACGGTGGGCATATAAAGATTTCAGCTTCAGTAGCAATTCAAAATTTCAACTCAAAACGAAAATGAGAGGTTATATGTCAACTATCAGATTGGTAAGAAAACACATTGCAATAGCAGGGCAACTTGCAGATTGGAAAAGTGAATGCAAATTAAGGTTTATGGAACTCCCCTCCCACTGGGACCACCTATGCCACGACAGCAGCATGTCTTCTACAGACCTACAGAATCTCTAAGTCTCCCCAGTGTTCTAAATCTTGGGGCTTAGATGTACCTTTAATTCACACCTACAGTTACCTATTATTTTTGCTATTCCTACCTGGGATTCTAGGTCCTTCCTGTTGCTCATTACTTCAAATATGATTAGGCACATAAGATGTTAGAGAAATATCGCCCACTGTCAAATAATGACTTCCTTTCTGCTAGAATTAAATCACAACTCCATAAACCAGGTTTCTTGGCTAATTGGGAAAAGAAGGCTTAAGGAGTCGGGATGCAGTTGGGATGAATTGCAGGCCCACACGAGAATATCATTGGTAATTAGGTCACCTCTGCTTAAGTATCCTTCTCCTTACTTTATCCCCTCTTCGGATCATCTGCCTGCAAGACAGACCTTGCTTCTTTTCACAACGCCTTTCACATAAGACTGCATTTGTACCATTTGCCATTTTCTCAGGATAAGCAAATCAATCAAACTTATCCCTATTAATGAGGTAGTGGGTGTATCTATTAACTCTATTCTTAATCTAAACAGGCGGTTCTAATGGTGGCACTTGCTGACGCCACAGCATGGGTGCTCGGCCCTGGAAGCAGATTCAATCACCTGAGGATGACACCAAAACCAATTTCTTTTTTTTTTTTTTTTTTTTTTTTTTTGAGACAGAGTCTCGCTCTGTCGCCCGGGCTGGAGTGCAGTGGCGCGATCTCGGCTCACTGCAAGCTCCGCCTCCCGGGTTCACACCATTCTCCTGCCTCAGCCTCCTCAGTAGCTGGGACTACAGGCGCCCGCCACCACGCCTGGCTAATTTTTTTTTTTTTTTAATTTTTATTTTTAGTAGAGACGGGGTTTCACCGTGTTAGCCAGGATGGTCTCAATCTCCTGACCTCATGATCCGCCCGCCTCAGCCTCCCAAAGTGCTGGGATTACAGGCGTGAGACACCGCGCCCGGCCACCAAATCCAATTTCTAGCCAGCAAAAACTATTAATTCAGAATATCTGGCACTGGGGCTTGGGCACACTTCGTTGTTCGTTTGCTTTGGTTTGAATGCTTCGAAGGTGATTCTGATGTTAATGTGCAGCAAAGCTGGCAAATCAATCCCTAGGGCAGTGGCTCTCAAAATGTGGTCTCCAAATCAGCGGCATCGGGATCACCTGGGAACTTGTTAGAAATGCAGATTCTCAGGGTCCACCCCAAGCCTACTGAATCAGGATTCCAAAGGTGAGGCCCAGGACTGCTTTAGCAATGCCTCCAGGATATTCTGACGCGAATGCTCAAGTTTGAGAACCACTGCAAGAGGACAGTCATTCCACGATATTTTGTGAGTCTTTCCTGTGCCCAGGCACTCTGTCTATAAAGATAAATTGGAAGTGAGCTTCTAATTTGGCATGGTATCATCGGGAAAGAATAACAACGTACTATAATAGTCCAGAGGAAGAAAGGATTAAGCCTCACTGTGGGAAGGCTTTCCACACAGCCCTTTCAGCAGCCTCTCAAATTATTACGCTGCTTTAGGATTTGACGGTGACCATGGACAACGCAACGTCAGGTGGGCTTTTACAGACTATAGACTGGCGATCTTAAACCCCAAATGTCCCGTTTACTTTCCATCTTCTGATGACAATGATCTGATGAGAGTTACACATCGTGAGCCCAAGAACAGGAGGTGTTATGGCAAGCGGCATTGCCTTCTGTTCCGAAGCCACTCATCAGCTCCACCCCACCCCATCCCCAGTGTCTTTCCAAAGTGGCTCAGTCAAGTTTTGCCGAAATTAAAGGCTCTGGCTTCACTCCCTGAAGCACAGCATTGAGCTGGCGGCCAGGGCCAAACCTAAGCTAGAGTCCGACAGAGCCGCCCAGTCACCCCACCCACTCATAGCCCCTTCCCGGGAACCCCCGGTGTGCACTGTCCCTCGCCGGCCCCGGGCGCCTTGACAAGGGAGACCAGCTCCTCCGGCACAACCCGGAAGGAAGGGTAAAGGGCCAGCAAGAAGGGAGAAGAAGCGAAAGGGCCGATCTTCTGTTGTTTTCCACGTCCGGTGGACGGCGCCTCTCCTCGGGCGCTTGCCCCGGTGCCCGCGGGCCTGGGAGCGCCTCTATGTCCGCCGCTGGGCGCGTCCTCCGCGAGCGCGCAGTGCCCAGCCCCGAGGGGACGCTGGGACTGCCCTCCGCCCAGGAACGGACAATCTGCGTTCACAACTGAGTCTGGGGCCTCCCAGACTCCCACGGGGAAACGGCGAGCCCGGCATTGGTGGTCCCCGCTGGCCGGATCTCACCCAGCTCAGCGCAATCTTGTGCGCCGGGAGCCGCGGGCCCAAGCGAAAGGGACGCGCTAGCCCAGGAAGGAGGGCGGGGCGCAGGGGTGCAGGCACCTCTGGGCTTCCTTTCCCCTTTATTTCTTATCCCATTCCCTCTCCTCTTCCTTCTCCCCTTCGATCCTTCCATCCTTCCCACTCTTCTCGATCTTTCTGCAGCTCTCCTCCCAGATGCTCCCTGAAACAGTGGGAGGAGGAGCCACCGCCCTGCCGCCCTTTTGACTTTGAACATTCCTGATGGCCCCTTCCAAACTGGGTTGGAAAAGAAAAATCAAAGGATCGGGCTTCTAGAAAGAGTCATACCCCATTCACTCCCACACATGCACACCTGGAAACAGTAGTCCAAGAGAAACATCAACCCTGGGCGAAATTTTCAAGTGATTACATCATTGCCCTTCTGAGATCGCGCACACACACCGCCAAGCAGGCATGCGCACATCCATGTGCTCACCCTCTGCGGGACCCAGCCGCTCCCCACAGATGGCATTTTATGTGCTATGTCTTTCCATATATATATATATATATATATATATATATATACACATACATACATATATTTATTTATTATACTTTAAGTTCTACGGTACATGTGCACAACGTGCAGGTTTGTTACATATGTATACATGTGCTATGTTGGTGTGCTGCACCCATTAACTCGTCATTTACATTAGGTATATCTCCTAATGCTATCCCTCCCCTGAGAAATGAACAATGAAGACATATGTGCTATGTCTTTCTGCATCAAATGGATACTCTCCTGTCTCGTTTTCTCCAGGGCCTGCCAGGTGACTGGGATATATCCGCTCCACCTCCACTTAGCCTAAGCCTGCCCTTGTCTCTCCCTCTTCTCCCACCAAATCTCCCCCCTTACCCTGTCCTTCATTTTTGGATATATTCATTAAAAACAAGTAAAAGGAGTCCACAAACTTCTCGTAGTTATTTTATACTAAAAATTCTCTTCTCTTTAGGTCTCAGTGTGCTAATAAACATAGAGCCTCCAGATATACTCTATTAATCCCACTATTTCTCCCGAGGACCCTTTGACTTTGAGATCTTGCTGGCAGGGGGCACCTGTGTGTTGAAAGGGATCAGACTAGACCCTGGAGTAATAGAAGTTAAACTTCTATACCCATAACTTAAAAACATGTCTTAGCTTATCAGGTATTGCCCAGCACACAGCATAGGGTATCCCTGAAAGGGTACTTAGTAGATATCTTTTGTAGGAAGGAGGGGTTCTAGAGCAAGGTAGAGAGCAATGGTATTCCGTCCTGACTGCACATAATATTCACCAGGGAGCCATGTAGGGGTGTGTGTGTGTGTATGTGTGTGTGTGTGCGCGCGCGCACATGAGCGCAAGTGTACACACAGCACCAGGGATAGGACCTGGATATATATTAATCATTTAAAAATATAAAAACCATTCTTATGCTCTGGGATGAAGCCTGGACATAATTTGGGGAGTTTTGTTTTGCTTTTTTTTTTAATTCCTTTGGTGATTCTAAGATACCGTTATGATTAAGAAGCGCTGCTAAAAGCCTTCTCAAAACACAGTTCCAAGACCAGCAGTATCGTCATAACCTGGAAGCTGGTGAGAAACGCAGATTCTCAGGTCACACCCCAGACAGACTGAATCAGGAACTCTGGAGGTGAGGCCCAGTGATCTGTGTTTCAACAAGCCCTCCAGATGATTCTGATGCACACTAAAGTTTGACAACCAATGAGGGTTGTCTGGTCTACACCATGCTATATCATCCACAGAGCTAAAATAATGTGCATATTTTAAAAGAACTATATATAAGCAGCAAACAGATAAGGCTATGCCCACAAAGCCTAAAATATTTACTAGATGGCCCCTTACAGAAAAAAAGATTCCATTCTACACTAGAGGGTCATATGGT
Source organism: Homo sapiens (assembly GCF_000001405.40). Lineage (NCBI taxonomy): Eukaryota > Metazoa > Chordata > Mammalia > Primates > Hominidae > Homo > Homo sapiens. The sequence goes on from NC_000013.11 coordinate 91,177,322, forward strand.
GGAGGACCCTGTTATCCTACCAGACAATGGCAGTATGAGAGTACTTAGAAGTTTTGTGAATTAGTAAGAGACAGGAGAATGTAGGGAAAGAGAATAGGAAGGTGTCAAGAGTAGAGAGAGGGAAAGATATTTTTTCTTATTCATATAAAACCAGGCACTTGCTTAAGGGATTTGCTAAAATCACTGGAGGTCAAAGCAAGATTGCCCTCTTTTCTGTAGATGTGCATAATTTATAAGCATCAAGCAAACAAGTATGGAGGATCTGTCTTTCATATGGCATATGTGAGCCACAGCAGTCTTCCAGGTAGAAGCTGAAGCAGGCTAGTTCCATTTTTAGTCCACTTCCCTCAGCCCTACCTCTACCCGAAGCTGTTTGTGTGTAGGTTTGCTTTCCCTAGGAGCCCTTCAGTGCCTCGAAGACAGAAAATAGAAGCTTAATTTTTGTGGTAGGTTGAGCCTGAAGCAGAGTGACAGGCACAGAGTAGGTGCTTAGATATGTACATTTCAATCAATGTTTGTTTAAAAATTCCCATGCATGGTTCTTTGTAGGAAACAGTGCCAATTCTTCACATATGTGCTAGGTTAGATATCTGGGGAAACTACACCAACTGTCAGATAAGGAGGAGGCTAAAAAATATGTAATAAAGGCTATGAGGCATCCAAAATAGCGAACATTATATTTTACTAATTGTTAAAAGAAATAATGCCCATCTTTGATACAACAGGGCAACCATTCATAAACTGGGATCAATCTTTATCCACTCAAAATAAAGTTGGAAAAGCTTATTGCTGGTTAATGTTAGTGCTATTTGTTCACCTAATAATGGGTCAGCTACCTGCTCATCATTCTTAGTAAGGTATGCAAACTAAATGTATACATGTGGATTTCCATTTTAAAAACTAGACTTACAGCATCCATTTTGATTGAATGATACTATTTCCAGGCCTGGATCCCAGCCATTACTAATACTACTTGGCTGTGGTGGGGCTAAATGAATTCTATTAAAAGAGAAAATCCTACGTAACAGATATGTTCACAAGTTGCTCTCCATTTAGCATTCAATCTGTTTAAAAATATGTGATTCTTTTAATCCAGAATTAATGGAAAATTACAGCATTTCAGTACTGTATTGTGTGCTTTAATAAACAAAATTTTTTGCCAAAAACCTCATATTGTAATTTTTGGAAAAGGCAATCATTTGGGGCTTGGGTAGTCTCTCTCTGACAATGAAAAACAAATGTTATTGATTCACAAACAAATATTTGTTTCCTCAAACTTATTCCTATCTCATGTTTCAAGGCCACTTCAAGTCATTCAGACACCTCACTTGCCATTAAATTAAGAACAGATGTAGCAACACCAGCGTAATCTACTAGAGTGAAACCTTGTGTACTAGTCAGCTCGAGTTGCTATAACTAAATACCATAGATTGGGTGGTTTAAACAATAGAAGTTATTGTCTCACAGGTCTGCGGGCTGAATGTCCAAGATCAGGGTACCGGCATGGGCTGGTGCTGGGGAGGGCCACCTTCCTGGTTTGTGGAGGGTGACCTCCTCACTGTGTCCTCACAGATGAGAGGGACAGAGAGAAAGTCTAGGTCTTTTTTTTTTTGAGACGGAGTTTTGTTATTGTTACCCAGGCTGGAGTGCAGTGGCGCAATCTTGGCTCACTGCAACCTCCGCCTTCCAGGTTCAAGTGATTCTCCCGCCTTAGCCTTCCAAGTAGCTAGGATTACAGGTGCCCGCCACCAGGCCAAGCTAATTTTTTGCATTTTTAGTGGAGATGGGGTTTCACCCTGTTGGCCAGGCTGGTCTCACAATCCTGATCTCAGATGATCCACCCACCTCAGCCTTCCAAAGTGCTGGAATTACAGGCGTGAGCCACTGTGCCCGACCTCTAGGTCTCTTCTTATAAGAATACTAATCCAATCTAATCAGGGCTCCACCCTTATGACCTCATTCAACCTTCATTATTTTTGTGAAGGCTCTACCTCCAAATATAGCCACACTGTGGGGCCAGAGCTTCAACATACAAGTATGGGGGGGTGGGCACAATTCAGTCCACAGCACCTTGGTTTTTAAAGATGTAAAAATTCAACCTTGTTCAAGTATAGAGTACCTAGTTAAATCCAGTGGAAAGCAACTAGCCTATGAAGTCTCATTTACACACGTGATTGTAAAAACACAAAGCTGACTTGAGTCTTTAGCACAGTAATAAAAAAAATTACCAAATACCGGTATCCCTTTATGAAAACAATATGAATGTATGAAAGTATAGTTGAGGCTACCTAGGAGGTTGAGATGCTTGCAAATGCTAAAACATAACATGTTTAAAATGCCGCTAAAGTATAAAAGTTCACCAATAAACATAGCAAAGACCGTAATTTTATTAAAGTTCCACAAAACAAATACAATATAAAATTATTGCTCTAAATAATTTGATCAAGTGCTTTTGATTAAATGCTTTTTTTTCTTTGACAGAGTCTTGCTCTGTTGCCCAGGCTGGAGTGCAGTGGTGTGATCTCGGCTCACGGCAACCTTCGCCTCCAGGGTTCAAGCGATTCTCCTGCCTCAGCCTCCTGAGTAGCTGGGATCATAGGCATGCACCCCCATGCCTGGCTAATTTTTGTATATTTAGTAGAGACAGAGTGTCACCGTGTTGGCCAGGCTGATCTCAAACTCCTGGCCTCAGGTGATCCACCCGCCTCAGCCTCCCAAAGTGTTGGGACTACAAATGTGAGCCACCACGCTCGGTCTGATCAGATTCTTTTGATCAAATGCTTTTACCTATGCTAATCATGGTGTTTTGCTTCATGTTTGCACCCCATTTTCCCAAGGAAGAGGCAAATTACAAAAAAATAAAATTAAAAATGTGGCAGAAAGCAAGATGTACCTTTAAAAAAATACAGAATATGCCTCGAGGTCAATACAGATCCAGGCCTCTATTTCAAACTCTCAGTCACCATCTACTCCTAGGTATCTGTAGCCACTAGTATCACATTAATATTCCTATAGATATTAGTTTGATGAATGTTTTTAAAGGCCATGCTTTCCCCCTGTGGGTGCATATTACTAAGATAAGGGTCTTCCTAGCTGGGACATATAGCCAACTACTCCCATAATCAGGTCTACTTAGCATGTTGGGCCTTCCCTGGTTGCCTCTTGATGCTCCTGTCAACACCTACCCAGTTCCCATACTGGACTGGCTCCTTAGTATATATAGTTCAGCTGAACAGTAATGAAATTCTAGGTTGAAAGATTTCCTTGCTTTGGCCCTCCTCCTCAAAATCAACCCCAAAGGACCAGATTAAATCTATCCCCATTCAAGAAAATCAGCTATTAGAGCAGACAAGGCAGATTGATTGCATGTCCCACTTTGTGTTTCTGGAAAAATATCCAACATCCTTACAATATATTCCCCTTCAATGAAGCTAGCTTAAATTCCTTTCTCTTTTCTACAACCAAATAACTCCCAAGGCAATAAAGGATTCAAGATGGAATCATGGTCAACAGGCTGGACCACCTCGGAAAAGTCTAGAAGAAAGTATTATAAGAAAATGTATAGATATCTAAGTTTATCAGAACAGAAACCAGTCAAGAAATAGAACCTCTATGAGATAATTACACAGGGCAAAAAAAGTGGTCAAGTGTGGAATTGGAGCGGCAACCCAGGCAATAGCAGGGAGATACTACCACCTATGGGTTTGGAGAACCAGAGGGAGAAGATAGGGCTAATAGAACATAAGAGTTAGGGCTGCCCATGAGGATGTGGGATTATAGAGGGTGGTGCTGCCTAGCAAAGCTAAAAGTATAGTTGATACAACTATAGTTAGAAATCCATCCAAAATAGGAAGGTTAGGGGTGAGAGAAATTCCCTGGCTTCTACTCTCTTTCTCTCCTTCTATCTCCTTCCTCTTTTTCTCACTGGCCAAACCCAGCTGGAAGCTGATTGGATAAGAAGCTAGAGAAATGCAGGTGGCAGGAGTCAATATTATACTACACAGGGCAAAGGGAGGGAAATGGATCAGAGAGCAAATAAGTTGCCCAGTAATCCACCAGTCTCTGATACTGGTTACTAGATCTGCATCGGTAAGCCTGGTAGGTCAAGACTACTCCAACATGGTCTGCTTTAGTGAGGATTGATTCATAATCAATGATTCAATTGATTGGTCCTGAAGTAGAGAATAGCAGCCATTCACATGATCTCAGTAGTGGTTGACTCAACTGGATTCACATGCAGACATAAAGTAATCAGAAACCAACTGAAAATGATTTTCCATAGTAGAAGAAACAAAATATGGTTCCTACCTTCAATTAACCCTCTGGTTGTAGCAAAATGATGTAAGTCGCACTGTGCTTCAGAGTGGAGAGGAAGGAATAAAAAGTGAGCTAATGTTTATTGAGCTCCTATTACGTTCCCTAGGCTAGCCATGTCGGTGCGCCATCTATTTACCCATACTGAGTATGGGTACTGAGGGCTTTATCAACACTGTTTCATTTAGTCATATAAAACCTTATGTTAGTAGACAATTCTCCATGAGTCTCTGATAATTGTAAACAGGTTATGAGCAAAGTCACTCACAGCTTTAGTTCCAGAGTATCTTCGTATAGCAAACAGCCTTGAAAGATAAAATGGTGTCTCCTTCCAGAGCAGAGGGCAGGGGTTGTGTTTGGTTGGTTTTTGTTGTCACTGCTTTTTTTTTTTTCTTCTTCTTTTCTACTGCCCAATATAATGAAGATAATATCTTAGTCTGGGACAAAGGTCAGGCAGCTTTGCTTGCACACCATAATAAAAGATGTGGATTCTTTAAGCCTGGAATTCCTGAGCTATGTGACAAACCCACTTAGGACACAGCATCCACCTAGGCTGCTCACCATTACAGAGCAGACTTGGGCGGCAAGGGAACTAGCACGAATGTGAAGCTCTGGCTGCTCCATATGCCATGAGTCCTCAGTCTTTGGCCCAGGGATCTTTTGTTTTTTGCCAGCATCCATGAAACCGAAGTAGGCTAACTTGTTAGCTTGCAAGTAAGATAAAATCTCAGACCCTTCACGTTTCTTGACACTAGCATCATGGCACCAGGGCAAAGCGAGAGGCACCTTGGGCACACAATGTAAGGAGGAATTCACTCAAGATCCTGCAAGGGCCTTCTCTATCGGCTCCTCTCTTCCCTCGCTCTAGTCCTGGCCTTGCTTGACTCCTTGGGTACTAAGTATTATATTACTCTTTTTATAGATGAATATTGTAGACAAAGTTTTAGCCCAAGATCTGTCTCCCTCCAAATCACATTTTACCATGTGTGTACATGTTCATGCATAGCATATTTACGGGTATGGAGGACCTGAAGTGGTGATGACACCAGAGATTATTAAAGAAAAACAGAATTGTGTGATAGGAAAAATACACCAAGCTTTTGGACAGTTTAGTAGAAATTAGACAGCATCATCTCTGATACCATTTTGACTTTGGAGTTCCGGATGCACAGCTCACCTTGCATCACAAACAAATCATAGTGTACTGGGCTGTGCTGAACTGCAACATTAATGTATTACCTGGCCTTCACACAGAAGACAGCAGAACTCCCTTTGGAGTTTTCTACACTGAAGAGATATCCAAGAGATATAGAAAATTTGTTGCTATGAAAGAATAACTCAGTCTGAACTAAAATGCTTTGCAGACCATGAAGGAAAGTGGCAGGGCTGTAAACACTAATGGACCTTGTAAACAGTGGTTTCAGACATTATACCCAACCACTGTGGCAGATGAGTCACATTTTTTTTTTTTTGTATTTAGTGTCAGATGCAAGCACAAGAAAAAAAAACATTACTGGAAGCTTCATTGAAAGCTAATGATAAATTTTATGGAATATAAAAGGAAAGAGGATGTCAGGGAAAGTTAAAATGATATTTTCATTCAGATCACTTGAAGTTAAAAAATTCTTGCTTAAATGAGGTGCTTAACTCCTTATTAGAAAGGTTAACTTGGGAGCATTTAGATGAAAAACCAGAATTCCATTAATAGATGTTAACGATGGAATCTGAAGTTGTTCCATTTGATAATATAGACGATGGGAGTAATGAGGGCAGACGAGGTCAAATTTATACATTAAAGTGAACGCTATGTCTTGGAAAATTAAAAGACATAAGACTTTAAGTCAAGTGTAGAGCTCTTAAAATCCCAGCATTTGAATGGTGAAAATTATCCTACACTTAATTTTGATTGGATGACATATCAGGCATAAAGAAGGCGAGTTCCACATGCAATGAATACAATCATTCACATATACATATAAATATATGTGTGTGTGTCTTTGTATACAGAGACACATACATGTAGCACTACCTAATATTCTATAAAGAAAGCTGCTTCCTTTGTCTGTTCTGGGACCCAGTGCCTTTACTGAGATCTCCAGGGAAAATCCTTTCAGACCTATTGCATCTGTAGCAATCCAAAGGTATCTATAAAATTACATAGAGGGGTCCCTCAACTTAGAGTTTTCTGAACCTATAAAAGACTTCATGGAGAAGGACTGAACTAATATGATAAAAGACTTATATTCTGTTTTACTAATCAGTTAATGTATGTACTGGCACTGAATTAGTTAATTCAGTTATACAACCTGCAGTTACTTAACATCTCTTAGCTTCAGTTTTCTCCTGAGGAGCGTAATGGAAAAACACATACCTTAATGTTAATGTGAATTTAATGAAATAATGCAAGCAAAGTGTTTGGCATGCACATAGTTTTTTAAAGCGTTAGCTATTATTTTTTATCATGCACATTATAGAAAATATACTTTCTCCTCACAGAGGATTGGTCAAAACCCTTAGCCATGTACGATGCTAAGGATCTGAGCTATAGTTCTTCTCTTTGGATCTCTGGGGTTTGCTTACCATCTTCCAAGTTCCCCACAATGTTATTATTCTGCCCTTCAGGGTGAGGGGGGTGTCAAATGCCTCCCAGCATCAGGGCTGAGAAGTCTTAGATGTTATCTACAATATCTCAAAAGTTCACATTTCAATATCCGAGTCTTTGTATACCATGGTAAATGATCTTCAAACTCTCCTCCAAAGTGCTCTTCTGAATGCCTGCCAAGGATTACTCATGTCCCAGAAAGTGGCTTCTCTCTCAATGTGTGCATACCGTAGCTTCTTGTTCCTCTGGGAGAGCTCTGAGCCTGACACCCCTCAGCGCTGCCAGATCTGTGTCGTTTGCTCTGTGTTGTGGCAGGGATGGAGGGAACCTGATTCCATAACACTTATGGTCGGAGGAGTCACCTCTGAGTTTGGTCATCACCAAAAAGAATCCCCCATTGTTTGGCAAGTAAGCTATGTTGCCACCTGTTTAGCCCCATTGAACATCAACCCGCCTGGTTACAGCAGCCACAAGACCTCACTTTGTATGAACTGCATTCTTGACATGTTGTGCACTGCAGAACAGAAACACACTCTAGAAGGGTTATTATTACACATACAGTGGCACCTCCATCCCACTTCCCCCTTAAAAACAGCAAATATTTATATAACACTTTTGCTCTAAGTGTTATATAATGCAAGCTACTATATTATATTTATATAATACCAGCTACTGTTCTAAGCACTTTACATGTAATAATTCACTCAGTCCTCAACAGCAACACCTTGAGATGGAAACCAGTATTATCTGCATTTTACAGGTTAGGAATGTTAGGCACAGAGGGGTTAAATAGATTGCCCATAGACATGGCTAATAAGCTGCTGAGCACGCCTTCTAGTGCTCTGCTCTCTTTCAAATGGCATGATAAACCCATGTTTATGTAACCATTATAAATACTTCTTAATATTGAGCATTCTCTAACTCTGAAATTGTAATCATTGACATATATAAATTTATATGCACAAGAAAAGAAGAACTGAAAATTGTACAAGAAACATTTTGGACACATTAGTGATAATTAACTGGAAATAAAGTCACTTGTCCTCTAGGAACCTCCCTAAAGCAAAAATAAATATAAGATGCAAAAGATTACAAAACCAGACCTGCAGTCCATTTTATGCTTTCTCTTTGCAGAAGTAGAAAATGCAGGATAAATACCTATTTCATGAAACGCTCATAGGAGAATTATGAGTATCTTTAGAAATAGCTGCAGCGTAAGTCAGCTCTGAATGTCTTGATTAATACTGCCATCTAATGCCCAATGGAGAAATCCAAATTTATTTTAGACTGAATGTGTCCTGGTGCTGTCCTCCAACATTATTAACAGAAATGGCAGCACAAATTGTATTATCAACTAGGATCCTGTAACTGTATCAATCATTGTGAGATAAACTTTAGAAAGTAACAAGAGACTGTGGCTCTTTAGCATTACAGTCCAGCTTTAGGCACCTTAGTTTCAGGGTATGGTGGCATAGTCATTACAAAAACTGATTTCATTATAACCTCCCACAAGATATAAGACCAACATCACAAAATACTGTTAGTAAAACCCTACTGAAATAACCAATATTTATTTTGCTTTCTATTTAAATCTCTTTAGATTTTTTTTCCTCTCTTGCTTCTTCTTGAGAAGTGTATTGATAAAACATGTCTTTCCTTGGCCTGGAGAAATATACCAAATAAAAATGCAGAAGCTAAACAAAGTCTAAAGTGTGACAAAAAGACCAGGTACTGTATTCATAAAGAAAAGTATAATCTATGCTAGGCACGATTCACTCACGTCTGTTATCCCAGCTGCTTAGAAGGCTAAGGAGTGAGGATCACTTGAGCCCAGGAGTTTGAGGCTGCAGTTAGCTATGACAACACCAGTACACTCCAGCCTGGGCAACAGAGTGAGACTCCATCTTTAAAAAAAAAGAAAAAAAAGAGTATGGTCTATTTTCACTTTTACATACATATATCAATGTAAATGTGTACGCTGTTCTACTTTTACCTCTCTTGGATTATTTCTTGATAGTTGATTGATAATTATTTCCTGGTAACAAGAAGATTGGGTGACCCTCGGATCCTTTTAACTCGGATATAAAAGATGAAAAGAAAAACTATTCATGGTAATTTATATATTGTTAAGTTAAAGAACCTTGACTCTTCCTGAAAAGTTCCCATAGTTTTTACATGTTTATTTAATCTTTACTTAAATTTAAAACATTTTATAAATTATTACATTTTTATAATCTACATGTTAACTAATAATCTCCTCTTAGCGCGACTTCCAAAAATTACGTATTCAGCTGGGTGTGGTGGCTCACGCTTGTAATCCCAGCATTTTGGGAGGCCAAGGCAGGTGGATCACCTGGGGTCAGGAGTTCGAGACCAGCCTGGCCAACATGATGAAACCCCGACTCTACTAAAAATACAAAAACTATCCAGGCATGGTGGCAGGCACCTGTAATCCCAGCTACTCGGGAGGCTGAGGCATGAGAATCGCTTGAACCTAGGAGGTGGATGTTGCAATGAGCCAAGATGGCACCACTGCGCTCCAGCCTGGGGTATACAGCGAGACTCTGTCTCCAAAAAAAAAAAAAAAAAAGAAGAAGAAGAAAAAGCAAAACAAAACTGATATATTCATTCTTGTCAACATGATTGAGCAAGTTTTAGATAACTAGTGCTATAATAACCACATACATATTACACCTAGAAGAATCCAATTCATGGCTTAAAGCTCATTTGATCCTTCAACTTCCCCAACTTCCCCAAAGTAAGAACACTTTGGTTAGTATAACTAAACCACGAGTAGACCCCATTGGTTAATCAGTTTCACAAGGATAGTTCTCACATCATGAGTGGGCCTGAGACATGGCTCCATCCCATATGGCATATGGAAAGACAATCTGAGCAGTGCCCAGGACAAAATTTCAGGGCCAGAAAAGAGGATCCCTAAGTAAGAGATGAACTTGCCATGATTTATCCACCCAGCATCCTCCCTTCCCCATTGCCCTTAGATCTGCTTGCTTTGTCGCTCTTCTAAGGCTGACAAAATTAAAAAGTAGGATGACTGTTTATAAAGGGCAGAAAACCATCCAGGGATAGATCCGTCCCTACATATTGACCAATTCCATCTTATGACATTCATGCATGTATTTAGACAAAATAGGAAAAGATGGTATTTATGCAATTTCAAGCCAGTTTTTAAGAAAGAGTTGAATTATTATTAAAAGTGATTCTGAAAACTGATAAAATACTGTCAAATTTGAAATTAATAGCTATTTTCAAAATAGCAAGTGATTTGAGTCCATTCAGCCTCTACTGTTCAAATCAGTTTGTTGCTGGCACAGCTGAAACCATTTGCTGGGGTATTTGGAATTGAATACAAGGAAAAGAAATAGCTTGACCTGACATTAATTAATATAATGTTGTTAGGAGCAATTTAGCTTGCTAGATGCAAAACCAAAATTCTTTAAGATTTAACCTTCTGGTATGAAGTACTTCTGAGCAATTTTCAGCAACTACATGTGGAATTCTTAAAATGCAGAACTAACATTATTAAAATAATGGCTATGAACCAGGGACAGAAAAGAGGCAGACATTCATCCTGACAGAGATAAATAATGGGCAAAGTAAATTATTAGCTGGATACTTGTTATACATGAACTAAACCATCTCACTTATATTTATACACAAAGCATAATGTTCTGGAATCCATTTAAATGAACACAATAGTAGTTACTAGGGAAAAATGATTTCGATTGTATCATTAAATTTAAAGCATTCACTTTAGGCACTGAACACAGCCCTCAAGTGGGCCTTTTATCACACGCTTAATGTGAAGAGTGCAAGAAAAAACTTGCCAGCTAATGTTTTTAGCATCTAAAGCTCTCTCCACTTCTTTGTAAGAATATCTAAAATACTCAGGAAAAAAGTCAGCATTGCATTTCTAATTCAGCTTCAAAAATAATGTGGAAATATTAAAAAAAAAAAGAATAAAACGGTGGGGGGGGGGTGGGGGGAACCACTTACTGATTGTCTGCCTGTTCAGGATAGTAAATGTCATCGCCCATAAGGGACTGTGAAGCCTCATCACTCTTTCGATTTCACAAAAGACAGAAACTAACTTGAAAAGTTAGCAGAGATAACTTGAAAAGTTCTGCTACCCTGAATGATTTACCACAAATTGAAATATACATTGGGGTTTTATGTTGAGTAATGATTGACCATGTTTTGAGAAAACTGCCTCTTATTTTGTTTTCCTGATTTTCTGTCAAAAAAAAAAAAAAACAGAAATATCCATCCAATAATTAAAGTTGACCATTTTGTATAATGATTTTTAATCTTTGTAATAGTAGTAGTGTTGTTGTTGTTACATATCCCTTTGAGAATCTGATGATCTCTCCGGAAAAATCCACGTACGTTCCCTTCAGTTCTGCATGTTTCAGAAGATGCACAGAAGTTTCATTCAATTTAAGAAGGTGATAATGTAGGTAGGAATAAGATAAGCAAGATAAAAAGGGAATGTGATAATGTATAACATGATGATGAAGAGCAATTCTGGAACCGGGTTTGGATGGTTCAGGGTCATTGTGCACAGCTCCACACAGAGGGAGGATAAAGAGAATGGTATCCTAGCTCTGATGTAGTTCAAATCCACCCCCACCATTCATAAACTCCATGAACTTAGTCAAGTTCTTAGTCTAGGTTTCTTCACCTGTAACCCTGTACCACCATTTTGAGTATTAGAAAAAGTAATGCCTGTAAAACATTTTTAAATAAGAGGCATGGCACATAGTAAACACATAGAAAGATAAGCTGTTATCATTGTGTCCAAGTTGGAGCTAGTATAATATCATAGAATGACATGCCAAGTTATTTTTCCAATCCTTCATCATAGACTCCTTGAATATGTTTTCTACCTTGTTGTACCATGCACATATTCTCTATTCCCATGCTTTGGAATGTCCTCTTCTTATCCCTATTCACACTGATAAGCTCCTACCCAGCATTTCATTCCCAACTCAATTATCACCTCCACTGGGATGGTTTCCTCAATTCCCTTGGACAGAGCTTGCTGTTCCTTTTCTATACTCATAGCATGTATTATCTCTATTATTTAACTCATCACCTTATATTGAAGTTTTAAATCCACCTTTTTACACTCTTAGATCGTAAAATTTTTATTTCTATTCTGAAGTCTTAGCACATGACTGGCAAAAAGCTAAATATTTAATAATAGATGGGTGGAAAGAAAGAAAGAAGAAAGAGAAGGATGGAGTAACAGAGAGAGAAAGGAAAGAAGGAAGGCTGGTTGTATTGCCAACCTCCATCAAAATGAAATAAAAGTGAACCCATTATCTTCCCCGACAACTGAAACTCCCTGGAGTTCTCTCTTTCTAGGTTTATATGAGGGTTTTTTTTGCTTGTTTTTTGTTTTTTTCAGTGGTTTCACTATCTCCCACTTTAAACCCACAGTCCTATCTGACTTTCTTGCTCAATCCCTTGAAAGGCAATCCATTAGAACACCATCTTATCTTTCTTTTTTTGATACAGAGTCTGCTCTGTTGCCCAGGCTGGAGTATAATAGTGCGATCTCAGCTCACTGCAACCTCCACCTCCCAGGTTCAAACAATTCTCCTGCCTTAGTCTCCTGAGTAGCTGCGATTGCAGGCATGCACTAACACACCTGGCTAATTTTTGTATTTTTAGTAGAGAAGAGATTTTGCCATGTTGGCCAGGCTAGTCTTGAACTCCTGACCTCAAGTGATCCTCCCACCTCGGCCTCCTAAGTGCTAGTATTACAGGCATGAGCCACTGCACCTGGCCAACCATTTTATCTTTCTTCATGGAATATCTTCATCTGTCCACCTCTTATTCCTCTTATACTAATAGTTTAGAACTTGTGCCTAAAGCATTTTTAATACCTTCCTTACTGCTCTCTCATGCCCAGTCTCTCCCTACTAAAAATTAATTTTCCCTGAGAAAAACTAATTATGTCATTTCTTGCTAGAACAGCTTTAAGAGTTCCCTGTTGCCTGACACTCAGTGTGCTCCAAAGTCTGGTCCCAACCAACCTTTTCAGAATTCTCTCACTCAATCCCTTCTTTATCCAATGAAGTAGGCACATTTCTCTTACTCCACACTTCTGATCTTTTCCTCTACACCATACTATTGCTCATGGTTACTCTCTTCTTCTCCAATGCCCTTCCTTTTTTCTTTTTAGCTCATATAAATCTTTTAATTGATAGTGTTCTATTTATCTAAGACCTCAGACCAATGATTTCCAGCCCATGGAGTACTAGAGATCATTTTAATGCTAAAAAAATTAAATGTTGAAGATTTCCAGGTCTGTCATGAACTGTGAAGGGTCTGAGATTTTAACTACTTGCAAGCTAATAAGTTAGCCTGTTACTGTTTCATTAATGCTGGCAGAGGCGGGAGACTCCTAGACCAAAGACAAAGGACTTTTGCATCCTGGTAACGAAATAAGGAGCAAGCACATCAGGATATTGAGGCTTATAGCCCTTGTACCCCGTACTACCAGAGCAATATTACAGGCCCAGATAGGTCTTTCACGTCCACTGAGTTTGCTCACATATGAGAAATCCAGGGCCTAGGGCTCAGCATTATGTTTTTACTAAATTTAATTATTAATTGATACATAATATTTTAGATATTTATGTGGTTTGTGTGATATTTTGTTACAAGATAGAATATGTAACGGACAAGTCATGGTATTTGAGGTATCTGTCACCTCAAGTATTTATTTCTATATGTTGGGAACAATTCAAGTCATCTCTTCTAACTACTTTCAAATATAAAATACATTGTTGTTAATGGAATCAACCATATCTTTTCTTTTTGTTTTTTTATTCTATATCTTTTTTTTGTTTTGTTTGTCCTGTCACCCAGGCTGGAGTGCAGTGGCGCGATCTCGGCTCACTGCAACCTCCGCCTCCCAGGTTCAAGCAATTCTCCTGCCTCAGCCTCCTGAGTAGATGGGATTACAGGCACGTGCCAGCACACCCAGCTAATTTTTGTATTTTTAGTAGAGACAGGTTTTCACCATGTTGGCCAGGCTGGTCTCAAACTCCTGACTTCATGATCCACCCGCCTCAGCCTCCTAAAGTGCTGAGATTACAGGCGTGAGCCACTGCGCCCAGCCGATTCTATATCTTTGCTACTATGTATAGTGCTGCAATAAACATGAGAGCTTAGATATTTCTTTGATATGCTGATTTATTTTCCTTTGGATAAAGACCCAGTGGTGGGATTGCTGGATCATATGGCACATCATCTCAGCATTATTTTTTAATTTTTTTTTTTGAGAAAGCCTTGCTCTATTGCCCAGGCTAGAGTACAGTGGCATGATCATGGGTCACTGCAGCCTCAATCTCTTGGGCTCAAGCAATCCTTAGCCTCCTGAGTAGCTGGGACTATAGGTGCAGGCCACCATGCCTGGCTAATTTGTGCTTGTTTTTTGTAGAGATAGCGTTTTACCATGTTGCCTAGGCTAGTCCTGAACTTCTGGGCTCAAGTGATTTGCCCACTTTGGCCTCCCAAAGTCCTGGGATTACAAGCCTGAGCCACTGTACCTAGCCTCCAGCATTATTTTTGAGCAAGTAGCAAACTTTGTAGCAAATAATAGTCAGTCCTCTTCTCTCCAAGTAGCACACATTTACAGGGAAGTCAGACTATGATCCCTTTACCTACCAGTTGCCTGTATTACTAGCTACAGAAATGGGTCACCAGTAGTGGGATACACCTTGCAGTGTGTGGGGACATTCAGGGCTCATGCTCAAAAATATTAAGAGTTTGCCACTCTTAACAATATTGAGTGGCAAATGTCATGACAAACAAGTAGACATTCATACACTTGTATTTTATTAGTCATAAAAGTATCTACACACCTTTTTGAAAAGTAATTATGTAGGTAATTTGTGAAGCATGAGTCAATCTACAGAAAATGCAACTCTCATTTCTATCATCCTTGGAGGTCTGTAATATACACAGGTTGGAAACCACTACTTTTCATTATAAAGCTCTTTGAGGTCTCAGACTGCATTTTGATGTATTTTTATTTCCCATGACTTAGCATAGGGTTTGGTTTATTCTAACTATTTAACAGATACTTGTTAAAGAAAAAAAAATGAAGATAAATAGAATTTGCCAATAAATTTGTGTTGAAATCTATGGAGATACATTTCATAAACAGTATCAATGAAGGCAGCTGGCTTTGAAAACAATACGAGACAAAGAGTAGGTGTACATCAATCCAGGATGTGGGGAAGCAGGTTTCAGCATGAGTTTGATTCCATTTTTCTTTGGTGTGTTGTAGAATTTGTTAAAGTTCTGAGGAGTAACATTCAATAGCCAAAAATAGATGCTTCTGGCAGGTAATGATATAGTAAAGTCACCATGACAGAGTTCAAATAGTAGCAGGATATTGATCAGGAGACCTAGATTCTAGTTTGAGTTCTTCCTTTAACAAGTTGTATGATATTTGACGTATATCTCCTGTCTTCATCTCAGTCTCCTTACCTGCAGTGGACAGGGACAAGGCTGAATTCTGTAGGGGATGTTGTTGGGGCCTCACCATGGTAGACAGCAAACAATGGCCACACATTTTTTTTTTTAGTTCTTCCCATCAACAGGTGGAGTCTATTTCTCCATTCCTTGGCACTGAACTGGCCTCATGACTTCCTTTGACCAACAGAATGTGGCAGAAGTAACCTTGTGTATGCCCCAAGCCTGGATCTCAAGAAGCCTTGCAGCTTGCACTCTTGCACTGAGAACTCTCCCACCACACAAGCAAGCCTGAGCTACCTTTATGAATCAGGGGTCAGCAAACTTTTTATATAAAGAGTCAGATGGTAAATATGTTAGCTTTGGTGTCTGTACAGTCTCTGCCTAACTCTTTCATTTTACTGATAAAGCAGATACAGGCAATATATAAAATAATGTACTCCAATAAAGCTTTATTTACAAAAACAAGAAAAAAAACTGGATTTGGCCCATGGGTCACAGTTTCAGATCCCTATGATAGAAGATAAGAAACTATGTGAAGAGAGGTCTCAGCCGTGCCAACTGCCCCAGCCATCCCAGCTAAGGCCCCAGACATGGGGGCAAGCCCAGCTTAGATCAGCTGAAACCTCCTGAGACCTACAGGATGGTCCAGTTGCCCCACTACATGAACAACGTGAAGAAATCTGAAATGAACTCAGTCACTGCAGTTTTAAGCCTCTAGGTGGTTTGCTACACTGCCAAAGTTCAACCATACACACATTCCAATCTTCTTTTCCAGTCTAAAATACCTGTTCTCCAGCTGCTGTAAGGTTACTGAGGGCCCAGAGCTGCTCCTACTTCAGAGAACTGCCTTACCTTAGAGATTACACTCTGCCCCCAAGGCAGTCAACAATAAATGGCTGTCAGGGAGGTACAACAGGTCAAACCCCTACTGCAAAATGGGTGCAATTCAGGTGTTGTGGGCTCTCTCTGGGGAGCTGGAGTGAGTTTCCGAGTTTGCCTCTGAAATCTTGCTTTGATTGGGAGCTTCTTCCCTGCCCTGCTTTGCTTCCCTTTCTTCCTTTCTCCTGCATGTACTCTTCCAACAGACCATTTGCACAAAAATCACTATGCCAAGTTCTGCTTTTAGGAAACGTTAAGATAGCTCCTAAAATTTCTTTGGTATCCATCATAATTATAATCAGGCCACAACTTGGGATAAAAGACTGAGATGCAAATGTGAAGGGCAATGTAATAAACCAAAAAGATAAAATTAAACCCACCTTAAGACATGGCGGAAGAAGAGTGTGATCTTCTATGCCCCAAATGCCTCGTCTGCACCTAGAAATGCTAGTAGGGGAAGGAAAATTGAAAGTAGAATTTCATGGAATAAAATTAAAATCCTGGTAATCTGTCTTCACTTAATATCATTTTCTTAAAATTACCGAAATTATCAAATTTTTGAAATACATGTTTATTATATTGTCGCAAAAAAGTCCCTGTTATAGTTGGTGCATTTGTCCCCTCCAAATCTCATGTTGAAATTTGATGCACGGTGTTGGAGGTGAGGCCTGGCGGGAGGTGTGTGGATGGATCCCTCATGTGTGACTTGGTGCCATTCTTAAAGGATTAAGTGAGTTCTCACTAGAAGTTCCAACAAGAGCTGGCTCTTAAAAAGAGTCTAACACCATTCTCTCTTTTCTCTTGCTTCTGTCTCACCATGTAATGCCTACTTCCGCTCCTCCATGAATGGAAGCTTCCTGAGGCCCTCCCCCAAAGCAGATGTGGGTACCATGCTTCTTGTACAGCCTGCAGAACCATGAGCTAAGTAAATCTCTTTTCTTTATTAAACACCCAGCCTCGGGTATTCCTTTATAGCAACACAAAATGGACTAAGACAAACCCTATTCTATTGGACACTGTGCCTACATCACGCTAATAGATAATGTTAGTCCCTAATCTTGTCTTCCTTTCGTCCTTCATTTCCTCACTGAGAAAAAACACAAGTTGTTCCAACACGTCGTGTGAAAATTGAGACTACTAATGAATTCATGCACATAAATTACATTGAAATCACCAAATAACCAGTAATTTGTAAATACAATATACCTATCATCATTATTATTCAAACAGCAGTCTGAGTATTCTGAATCAAAAAAAATAAAGGAAAGAAATATTGCCATCAGCGGGTTCCCTGTAAACTGGGAATTGGGTAGCTGGCAAAAGGAGAGATCTGAAGGAAATCTGAAGGAAAAGTAATGACAGCAGCAGGGTTCTCTTTCAAGGGAAGAGAAATAAAGAATTGTCAGAGAAGAAACATTAATAACTACACAGTGAAGTATGTGAAAAGAATCTCTAAAAGGTGTGAGATAGAAACAGGAAGACACCCTATATCTAGAGGCTAGAAAGGGGAAATTTAAGAAAAATGCATTTGTTGGAATAACATGAAGATGCTTCCTCCATGTGAGTATGTCTTCTAGGGATGAAAACACTCAGGAAAAGAGTGTAGTGAAAAATAAAATCAGGAATACCTTGACAGATACACACCGGAATTTATACATTCTTAAATATGTGTTAGTTTTAAAAAATAAAGATTTAAACGAATGTTTTCATTTTTGATTTCCATCATTTCAATTAGTTTACATTTTTTTGTAAGTGAGAATTACTATCCAAACTAAGATGGTTCTGTCGTACTTGCTTTCTTAATAGAAAAAAAAAAAGAAGAGGAAAGAAAGGAGGAAGAGAACATTTCAATATACAGACTTCTTTGAAATGCTGAGGACTTCATCCAAACTTTCTATATCTTAGTTTCCTCACTTGTATGTAAATGAAAAGATTAGGATATGTTTTTAAAATTCAATAATTCTTAGGGAAAAACATGAGGTTTTATTGCATGAATACTAACTGGAGGAAACATTCTCAATGGCATTTTTAAGTCAAATTGCTGTTTGTAACCTTATAAGACAACTTAGAAGAGCAATACTTTCTGCATTGCTTCAAATCTAAAAGTATTCAAAAAAAGCTAATTTGGTACAGCTGGGAAGAGCCCTAAGGATGTACGTTAATCTAATGACTGTTTAGTATAGGAAATTATAGCTTAAATAATTTATATGAATTTGGATATTCATTAAGGTTTAACAGCATTTGAGAAAGAGTAATTTTAAGATCAGGAACTAAAAATAGTGGCATTTGCTTTCACAGAAACCACAAGTAAATGGCAAAGCATATAATTAATGTACACATTACTTCATTTTAGGGTTTATGCAAACCAAGAGTTACAGAAACTATAACATTTTGAGTTCAATACATGTGGTTATTTTCAGGGAATTAAAAAATTTATAAGATTGAAAAAGGAATCAACTAGATAACTTTAAAATAAAAATTAGCAGGAAGGCTTAGGGTAGCATTTTTGTGGATAAACTTGATTTCGTCATAATCAAGAGAAGGGTGTAAAAGAGAGAGTGGGGAGAAAGATGGCAAAGGATAATTAGGAAGCAACATCCCAAAGCAGGTGAAAGCCATGAGAATTCCTCTCTCACATGGAAAGGGATTCCCCTGAAAATGCACAGAAGCAGTTTTTCCTCAGGAGGGGAAGAGGTGAAAGCAAATGTAATTTTCTACAAGTTGCCAAGACATTTGCTGCTTTTTCATGGGCTTCAATTCGTTCTTGTCTCCTTCTAAACCACTCCTTCTGGGCCACTGGTACGAGGAAGTGCTTCCTGAACTCACATGGTTCAAATGTCTCTCCCTGTGCCCCAAGTCTCATTTCAATTTTGATGACCACCCTCCGGGTACTGGTACTCCATGGATCTGACTGGGTTCCATGATTGACTTCTGATTTGAATTCTCTAAATTACCATGAATATTACCATCTGAAATGTTCCCTATTTTTTACTCTTCTGACAAAATCCACCCCTACTTCCATGGCTGTAACTATTTAGTCATTACAAAATATTTGAATTGGCTAATCAATATATTTGATATATGCCACAATCTAGATTGTTGTCATATAAAACACACGTTTCATACCTTTGGTCTTCAATGTGAAGAATTTCACATTGTTTATTATTTAGGCACTAATACATTATAGAATATATAATTTTAAAAATTATGTGTAATTCTATATGATTAAAATATACAAATATAATTTATGTATATTAATAATAGTGTTACAGGCTTTTAATAAATCAGCATGTTAATATCACAACTAAGATTTTGTTAATAACTGAAAAATATTTTATTCTAGTAAAGTATACATAATACAAAATACCATCTGAACTATTTTAAAGTGTGAAGTTTTGTGGCATTAGCGTATTCACATTGTTCTGCAACATAGCAACCATTCATCTCTAGAACGTTTTCATCTTCCCAAACAGAAACTCTGTAACCACTAAACTCTAACTTTTCATTCTCACTCCTCCCAGCTACTGACAACTACCATTCTCTTTTCTATCTCTACGAATTTGACTACTCTAGTTACCTCATATAAGTTGGCTCATACAATATTCGTCCATTTATGACTCTTTTATGGCAGCTAGCATAATGTCTTCAAAGTTCATTCATGTTTTAGTACCTGTCAGAATTCCCATGTGTTAGAATTCCCTTCCCTTTTAAGGCTGAATAGCATTCCGTTGTATGTGTGTGTGTGTGTGTGTGTGTGTGTGTGTGTGTGTGTGTGTGTGTGTGTGCATATAAAAATTACATATACACACACCACATTTTGTTTATCCTTTTAACCACTGATAAACACATAAGTGGTTTCTTGGCTATTATGAACAATGCTGCTATGAATGTGGATGTACAAATATTTGTTAAAGTTTCTGCCTTCAATTCGGAATGGTCATAGTTTTTCTTCATTGTTTATATTTAAAGTCTACGACATTATGTTATGGGATATAGAGACACTGAAAAGGTTACTGTAGTGAAACAAATTAACATATCTATAACCTCGCACAGTTACATATTGTGTGTATGTGTGTGTTGGTGGCAATAGCAGCTAAAATCTACTAATTTAGCATGAAACTCGCATACAGTACAAATTTACTGCCCATGATCTTCGTGTTACAAAATTAGATCTCTAGACTGCAGAGAACTCAATCGTGAAAAAACAAATAACCAAGTTAAAAAATGGGAAAAAGACCTGACTAGATATTTCTACAAAGAATACATAAAAATGGCCAACAGGTATGAGAAAAGGTGCTTCACATTAATAAAAGGGAAACACAAATGAAAACCACTATGAGATACCACCTCACTTCCCGTTAGGATGGCTGATAACAAAAAGACAAAAGATATCAAATGTCAGCAAGGATGTGAAGAAAAGGGAACTCCTGTCCACTGTTGATGAGAATTTAGGTTGCTACAGCCATTATGGAAAACAATATGGAGATTTCTAAAGAAATTAGAAATGGAACTACTATATGACCCAGCAATCCATCTTCTGGGTGTATACCCAAAGGCAATAAAGTCACTAGCACATGAACATATCTGCATACTCATGTTCAATGCAGCAGTAGCCACAATAGCCAAGATATGCAAATGACCTCTGTATCTGTCAACAAATGAATGGATAAAGAAACTGTGGTACAGACATACAATGGAATATTGTTCAGCCCTAAAAAAGAACAAGATCTTGCCATTTGCCACATGTATGAGGCTGAAGGACATTATGCAGACAGATGACAAATATTTCATGATCTCACTTATACGTAGAATCTAAAACAAAAATTCAAATATAAGAGAAAGAACAAAACAGTGGTTACCAGGGTGGGAGGGAGAGGGGGAGGAAATGAGGAGATGTAGGTTAGAAGATAGAAAACTAAGTATTTTAAAAATTACTTTAGTGTCTGGTTAAGTATCCTGCTCCTAGCTACTCAATAAATTTCTACTAAATGCAAAATAGCATTCCCAATTTCCCATGATTATTTTGTTGTCAAGTATTAACATTTGTCATCTTAGTAAAAGGATAGGAATTACTTTTCTAATTAATAAAATGAATCCCTATTTTCATTTGGGAGTCTTCACTGAAATTTGTTACAAAATAGTTGGAAGGAAATGTACAATGAAAGGTTATTTTAAGAAAGGTTATATGAATGATTGCTTCTTAATTAACAATCCTTTTTACCAATTTAGTTGTAATTGACGCCCTTATGAAAGTGAAGTTTCTGTAGCATCTAGATTCTTCCTTAAGGCATCTAGTAATCATTTAAAGATGGACTAATATACAATGAAGTTTGGGTTGCACTATTATTGGTAAGTTTGTGCTGTTAGTGTAGACTTTAAAATAAAATGAATATAGTTTAATTAGATGCTATTATCTTTCTAATTTTACTAGCAATTTTAAAAAGAAAATGAAACCCTTGGCCTGAAAAAGCAAAGGTCATTTAACTTTCCTTGCCTTGTTTGTAATCTTTTAAAAGTATTCTAATGAAAAATAACATTAATATCTAAATTCATAAAGATTCCCTCCACTTTAGTCTCTTTACCTTATTAAATATACTCTCATTACTGATTCTAATTATGAAAATAAACCACACATGACCTCCAAATCACATTTTTTTTCTTTTTTTCTGAGACAGAGCCTCGCTCTGTCACTCAGGCTGGAGTGCATTGTTAAAATCTCAGCTCACTGCAACCTCTGCCTCCCGGGTTCAAGCATTTCTGGTACCTCAGCCACCTGAATAGCTGGGTTCCAGGTGCGAGCCACCACGCCTGGCTAATTTTTTTGCATTTTTAGTAGAGACAGGGTTTCTCTGTGTTGGCCAAGCTGGTCTCGAACTCCTGACCTCAAGTGATCTGCCTGCCTCGGCCTCCCAAAGTGCTGCGATTACAGGCATGAGCCACCACCCCTGGCCTAAATAAATTCTTAAAAATAATATGTAATTATAACTTCAAATGTTATAAATGTAGAAGAAACCTATTAGAATCCCTGATTTTTCAGTGGCAAAAGTAACATCTCTCTCCTATTTTTACAGAGGAAAAAAAAAGCTGATACCTATACATATACAGGTATAGTGTAATATAATATGTACACAGAATACAGTAAACGTAATAATATATACGTATATCACACATGTCTATTAAACAGCAATCATTCACCCTATCACCACATGTTGAATGCCTATAATATACCAGGCACTCTTCTGGAGAAAATAACTTGACATCTAAGGTTAAAGGAAAGATCTGACGTAACAAAGTCTATTTTACATGAACATGATTGCTTTTAAACACCTTCTGATAAAGAAAAATAATCCTAACATTTTGTATATGAAGGGTATTGTAGACCCACTATGGGTTTTGACTCCAGAATGACCTGGTTTCAAGTAACTGTTGCATCATTTACTAGATATGTGATTTATGTAAGTTACTTTAAGTTCTTTCAAAAAAGAACTTATGTAAGTTCTTTCATCTATGAAATGGAGACAATAATGTAGATTTTTAGGGGGTGGTTGTTGCATGATAATTATACACACACACACATATAGCATAACACCATACCTAACACATCCTTCAAAAGGCAATTCTTATTGAATCTCATTGCTGTGATTCAGGAAATAATCATGTACAATGACACTGTATTAGTTTTCTATTGCTTCACTAACAAATTATCACAAATATAGCCACTTAAACAGAAGTTTATTATTATTTTATGGTTTTACAGATCATTAGTACAACACAAGTTTCACCAGGCTAAAATCAAAGGAACCACACTTCTTTCTGCAGACTCTAGGGAGGAAAAAAACCTGTTTTCTTACCTTTTCCATATTCTAGGGGCCACCCGCATTTCTTGGTTTGTGGCCTCTTTAATCTATTTTCAAAGCCAGCGACAATGGGTTGAGTCCTCTCATCACATCTCTCTGGCCACCAGAAAACCAGAAAAGGTTTTTTGCTTTTAAAGACTCATGTGATTGCATTGGGCCCACAAAGATAACTTAAGATAATCTCCCCCATCTCAAGGTCTGGAAACAATCACATCTGCTAAGTCCCTTTTGCCCTGCATGGTAACACATTCACAGGTTTCAAAGATTAGAGCACGCACATATTTAGACAGCACTATTCTACCTACTAAAGGCACCATGGGACCAACTGGAAGGGTCCTGTATTGTGGCAACAAGTGGCAGGATCTCAGATGTAACTATTGCTGCTGCTGGCATTGGACTTCCCTAGAAACATGTAACTTAATGCTGAAGAAACTTTCCATTCTTCCTCTACCCATGTGAAATCGTGTTAGTGTAAATGCTGTTAAGTTAGAAGCAATCATCACGCTCTACGACTGTCTTAAGAGAGCAGTGCAAAGTCAGAATTAAAAATAAGCCCATTTATGCTGAGATCCTTGGGCTCTCTGACACTACTTTCATGTCCCTAATCAATATATCCCATGGCTGCAACTACCTGGGGCTTTACTGTTTAACCATTTTACACTCTCTGTGAATGTTCTTCTCCACAGTGTATGTTCTTCTCAATAGTCTTAGCAAGACAGCATGACTGGTTTGGCAGCTTCGTCTGGATTAAGCAAATGAATTATTCTAAATGGATCTACCTAAGTAGTTTGATCCTGCCACTACCTCACATGTTCTGTCTAACGAACAAAGATGTAATAAACAATTTAAGTAAATCATTTGGCCACTATATTAATTCCTTTCATCTTGTAAAGAAAATAACATATTTGCCATTTTAAAAAGAAATGAAATAGAGTAGAAATTTTGTTTTACCTAGTCTTAAAATCAAGGAATTTAATGCAACTTCATTAAAGCCGATGAATATTTTTGGTATATCTACAAAGTTAGGCACCAGGGCCTCAGTAGACGGACCACATTTGTTCATTGCACTCAAAGACGCTAAACTATAATGGAGGTAAAAACCCACAGATTCTACTATCCTAACCCCTCATTTAAGCAATAAGGAACTGAATTCCAAAAGATTTAAATGCAACTGATTCCACCTTTGATGCATAATCCACCTTCATATCCCCCAAAGTAGAATTCATTAGCAAGATTGGGCTTCTGAGATTAGGAAGGTCAAGGCATTCAGCAGAACACTGACTCTAATTATCTTAGTAATCCAAGAGAGAAAAGTGATGCAAAAGATACCAAGCACATTAATAATATTAGAGGAGCAATAATACAAATAGCTAGAGCTGCCTTGTCAGACACATCAGGGCTTTCATTCCAGTCCAGTATGTTAGCTTGTGATCTTCACCAAACTGCTTGACTTTTCTAAGCCTCAGATACCTCATCTGCAAAGCATGGAGACATCGTAGCATGGAATATAAAAATGCAGACTTCTGGCTTCAGAATCACGTGGGTTTGAATGTGATTCTGCCATCTTCAAGTTGGGTAATGTTGAGCTCATTCACCTCCTTTAATATTACTCTCAGTAATATTGGAATAATACCTGCCTCAAAGGTATTATTAACTCCTTGTTACAAGGAGTAAACGGGGTACATAGAACACTTAGGGCAGTGTCTGAGTAACAGCAAGAAGTCAGTAAATAGTAATAAGTGTTACTGCAAGTTAACTTGATGATGCTTTGTGAAGATTAATAAATGCAAACCAATTCCCTCATACATGACAATTGTTATGGTCTGATGTTTATGTCTTCTCAAAACTCATATGTTGAAATCCTCACTGCCAAGGTGATGGTATTAAGAAGTGGAGACTTTGGGAGGTGATTAAGTCATGATTTGGTTTAATGACCTTGTTATACCAGCCTGAATGAACTATTAAAGCAATGTTGTGACTGTCTACATTCTAATAGTAATTGTATATTTTCAAAGTCTCTTTAACCACGGACCCTATCCTCATGCCCCAGCAACTGAACGGTTAATTTTTCCTCATTTCACAAAGTAGAAATTTGACTTTGGTAAGGTCCAAATGGTTCAGGATCAAATATTAAAGTAGGAATGAAGAAAGAATTCAAACTCAGTGACCCCTGGCTCTCTATTCACTGCTTTAACTGTTAAATTATATCACCTTGGCAGTTTAACAGTACACTAGAAACATTTTCAAGGAAGATTATCTATATACACAACTCTTGGCACCATAAATATTTGTCTGAATTTATCCTGCTCCACGCCAATCAACACCTTATGAAACTTGTGATTTAAAAGGCTTCGATTTTTATTCATGCAGTGTTAATATAATGGAAAACAATTCAGTATCTCCAGCAGGAATGATTTTACAGGCATTAAGCAGGTGGCAGACTACATAAACTTTAACTTTCTTGACATTTTTAAACAACTAATATAGTTTTAAAGCATGTACCTTTTTGTGTCATTTAAATAGGAAAATTATTAATGATAAAGTTTGTAAGAGACATAAATTTGAAGCATTTTGTTTACATTGAGTTAAGGATATATAAACTTTGATAAATGTTAATGGAAGTTACCAACACGCATTCCTTTCATAGCAATGGAAGACCTCTCTGTATAATTCCCAATAACCCTTTTAACTTGTGAAAAATGAATAAGGAACTGGAGTGCATAGAACACCAAAGTATAATAAGAGCAGAAATAAGTGAGCTTACTCCAGTTTATTCCCGAGTTAAATACTAAGAAATAATTCCAAACAAGTGCATTTCATGAAGCTTATCTTTCATGGCACTTTTCTTCTGACCTAGCTCAAAGAGAATGCCCTAATTTTTTACTATTCATTCCCCCATAACAATTCCCTGGCTTCCTTCCTTACCTGCTGTGCTTTTGTAATGCTGTATTGAATTAGAACTATAATTAGTCAGCATCTACTCATTTAGTCCATGAGTGTGTATTTAGCACCAGGTACTATTTGTGACAATAGACAAGACAGCTGTCCCTGTTCTCCAAAAGCTTATAGTCCAGTGGGGAGAACACAAATTAAGCAGAAGGTTTCAAAACAGTGTGATAGTATCTAAGGCATGTAGTGTGAAAAGGGCTAAGGCTTAGGTAAATAGAGTGTTCCGGAAATGCATGGAGATAATGTAGCTAAATAACTTCAAGGACTCAGATGCTAGACTAAGAGGGCCTATTGAGCAAGGCACTGTGTTGGGACATTGTAAAATATAAATTCAACCCCTGCTGCCCAGAAAATTCACTGTAATTGGGAAGATAGAGGCCAAAGCTTTCTCCCCTTTTTTCCACAACCAAACTGCCTCCTAGACATCTTCACTTCGATGTCCCACCAGAGCTAAAACTTATTAGGCTCAATGCTTATTTGTTTTCTCCTCCAGTCCCCAGACCAGATCCTCACCTCCAACATTCTCTGTCTAAGCAACTGGCCCCAACCCATCTAGTTACTAAATTAGAATGAGAAGGAGCATTCCGTGGGTCACTTCCTAGTTCACCTCTCACTTTGAAAGCATAGGACAATGTTTGGGAGGGTGAGTAATAACAAGATGGGAATAGTTCACAAAGGTTTCATGTGACAAGCTGAAAACTGTAGGCATTATCCTATAGACAATTGTGCCATTCAGTCACTGCTAGCATTGCCTTGTCATATAGCTAAATGAAAGAATATATTTATAAGGCACTCTGTGAATTTTCATTAGTGATAAATAGGCTCTGATTAATTTTAATGTCTGGCTAGGAAACAGGGAGAAAATTTGTTAACTCATAAAATGCATTCTAAAGTCAAACATTAATGGGAAGGGATCATTATTTAAATTTAAAAATTCCATGTGTGCATGTGAATATATACATATAAATAGCATATTCTAAAGCCAAATATTAATGGCTATAAAACTTTTTACAAGGAGCATACCAGATAATTCATATCAAATAGTTTCTCTTGAAACTAATTATCTCTGTTGGCCACATAGACACAAGTTGAACATCCCTAGTCTGAAAATCTGAAATCCAAAATCTTCCAAAATCCAAAGCTGTTTTCGGTAAAACACAATATCACAAGTGGAAAATTTCATACCTGACGTCATGTGATGGGTTGCAGTCAAAATTTTGTTTCATGCACAAAATTATTACAAATCTTGTGTAAAATTATCTTCAGGCTATGTGTATAAATGTGTATGAAACACAAATAAATTTTGTGTTTCGACTTGGGTCCCATCCCCAAGATTTCTCATTATGTATATGTGCATATTCTAAAATACCCCTCAAAAACCTGAAATCTGAAACACTTCTGGTCCCAAGCATTTGGGATAAGGGATACTCAACCTGTAAATGTTTATAAGCAATGTTTTTGCATTGAATAGACCTCCACTGACATCGTGCCTGTGATATTTTTCTACTGTATGACCTTGGGCAAGTCACTTAACCTCTCTGAGTCTCAATATCCTCACTTATAAAATGCATATAAACCCAACCTTTCAGGTTTTTATGTGAGCATTAAATAATATAATTGAAGCATAAATATATGGTAATAATTCAACAAATTATAACTACAACTATACTCACTTCGAAGAGAAGCCATGGAGAAAGATGGCATTTTGCTTAGGAAGAGGTCATTTTAAAGCATCAGCTGGCTTTTTGAGGGAGCAGCATTTAGTAGCTATATGACATATTCTAACAAGATGGTGGAAAATGATAAACTAAAAATTATCCGGATGCAAACACCTAGAAACGCTGGATAAAATCCACCTAGATCCATAGTTGAAAGTCCAAGAATAGGAATACTCAGGAGTCAGAAACAAAAGAGAGTTGAAAAACTAAAGCAGTATGCGAATATCCTGGCAGCTATCCTTGCCGTGGATGATAGATGTGGACAGCTTCCATAAACTTACAGCCTGGGTTTAAATACCATGAGTGACAAGAAATGAGGCCTTGGGCCCAAACAGGAGGGGAAGTTAGAACTAAAACCCCTACCGAAATCTGGGACCTCAAAATATTTCACTATCAATGACAAGTAGACTAAGGCAAAAATATACTCACATACAAAATAACAAGGAAGCTATGTCTCTGCCATGGGCTTAGGTAGGGAAAAAAAGAGACTCTCCCCTGAGTATCAAAAACCATTGACCAGCACCTTGCATGGATTTGCAGTTCAGAATTCTCCTACTAGTTTGTTTAGGAACTCCCAAGCCAAGATATTAGCAACAATAGCAAAATGATTCTGAGTGTTGATAGCTTGTAGGGTATCTGGTAGAAGCAAAAGCAAATCTGCATTGGAGTGCCACGACTTCCACCTAAGCTCACTACATACCTAGAAGTACACTAAAATTGCAATGCTAAAGATATATTTAAAGTTACTTTTAAATATTCCACTATGAGCAATGATTAGCAGGGACAGCCAAAAGGATTAGAATCCCACAAACTTTATATTATAAAAGACTCTGATAAACCCTCTGGAAATGAGCATGTTTAAAATTATTGAATGAGAAATCAACCTCTAAAAAGAACAAGACACAATGGAAAAATACTGGCTAGCTTTGAGAAAGAACAATTCAAACTTGTAAAAGTAAAAAATATAATCATAGAAATTAAATCTTAATAGGCAGATGACACAGGAGATAAAACAAAATATAAGGCACAATTGACAAATTGAAAGATAAGGAAAATACCTAAAATGTATCAAAGAGGGATAAGGAATTAGGAAAATAAAAGACTATTTAAGCATCAAAGAAAACAAGATGAGATGTTCAAATATACAGCTATTTGGAGTTCTGGATAGTGATAACAGAGGGAATGTAGAAATATTACTCAAAAATATAATGGCTGTGAATGTTACTAATTGATAATGTATTCAGGCTGTCATTCATGAGTCAAAAAGCAAAAGATCCTCTCAAGATTAATAGATGGGTGGGTAGATAATAGATGGATGATAGATAGATAGATAGATACATAGGTAGACATGTATCTAGATAGATAGATAGATGATAGATAGATAGATAGATAGATAGATAAACAAATAATATTGAAACTGTATAGTTACAGTCATAGAGAAGGTATTTAAAGCAACCAGAAAAAAAGGACAGATTATTTACAAGGGATCAACAATAGACTGACAACAAACTTCTGAACAATAAAAGACAGAAGACATTACATTCAAAAGTAAGGAGAAAGTAAACCGTTAACTTAGATTTCTCTATTTCTGTAAGGCAAATAACTCTGTCTACTATTGGAAAAAGTGAACTGTATATTACATTTATTTCTTTGGAGAAACTTTCAATACGGACTATAACCTTATTTGACTACATTACATACATCCTTCTAAAAGGCAAAATAACTGAATAAAAATACAAAACAAGATCCCTTGCAGCCCTATGATTCAGCAGTTTGGGGATTTAAAATCCAATACTTCATCTTTGAAGATGCTAATTTTGAAAGTGAGTGTTATTCTTCCAGGTCCCATGTGCCTCAAAACAAACAAAAACTACGAACAAACAATGAATATGAAATCTCTCCTAGAGAGATTTAATTTAATTTGCCCTTAAAATATGACATAAAACCAGCAGTATACAGTAGTCATCACTAAGTTTTTTGTGGCATAACTTTAATTGGTTCGAAAATCAACGGCCACCAGATCTTGCTCTATTTATAACATTAAAAAGCAGGAATTCGTGGATTTCTTACATTTGACCACCAAAAGATATGCCAGCTCTGAGTTATTAGGCCGTGCTGCCCTATTTAAAAAACAAAAGCAGAAAAGCCAATTAATACACCTTATTATTAAAAATTGTGAGGTTTTGACACTGAAAGGTATTTTTATCTTCCAGCTTGGTGAAATATTCCTAGCGGAATTCATACGAAGTGGAGAGCCAGCTGGGAAAAAGGGAGGCTTTGAAGTGGCTGTGCCTGGGAGGGACTCTCAGCGTCAAGGGGCTGCAGAGCTCTGATATCCTGTGGGTGCCTGAAAGAAGCTTTTTCTCTGTTTATGAGTTCTCAATCAGTTAGATACTTTCTGTCTTCACTAATAATTTTCATATTACAAATGTGATTACAGAGGTTTACATTTTTTTCCAAACCAAACAACTGGGTAAATTTCAATATAAACTCTTTCCAGTCTATGCATGTATAAGTATTTTAAACATTCTACATACCTTTAAAAGATACTTGGACTGCCTGATAAATAAGGTTAGCAATTTTAATGACTGCAGTTGAATATCTCTCTTACAAGAATGGAGATAACATTAATTCTTTCATATTGATTAAATCTTTAGCAATTTCCTAACTGTATTCAAAAATATATACTCTATGCCCAATAAAATCTGCAGATTAAGAAATAAGCTACGTTTATATCGTGTAACTTCCTATTATTTTTCTTCATAAACTACAATGACATCTTTAATTTTTTTTTTTCAAGACATCAAAACAAGAAAGAAAAAAAAATATTTAAAGAATGAAAATAGACCGGGCCTTCACATCCAGGTTAAACAGATATCTTTGTTCAGAACTACGGACAAATACATAAAACAGCCAAAAGTCATCCTACTCACAAGCACCTTCAGGCTATTACAAGAATTGAAAGGTAGCCAAAGATTTGTTCTCTAACAAGTACTCAAGTACTCTAATACTAACATGAAATGGTATGACAGTTACCCTCACAGGATGATGACTTTTGTTTCATAAACCATCTTAAACACTAAATTATTAAACTGAAACTTGTTTTTGTTTGTTTGTTTGTTTGTTTGTTTGTTTGTTTGTTTTTTGAGACGGAGTCTCGCTCTGTCGCCCAGGCTGGAGTGCAGTGGTGCAATCTCGGCTCACTGCAAGCTCCGCCTCCCGGGTTCACGCCATTCTCCTGCCTCAGCCTCCCGAGTAGCTGGGACAACAGGCGCCACGCCTGGCGAAACTTAGTTTTTAAATGATGAAATTAAAGTCACATGTTCATATCCCAGAAAAAGGTGAGTGGAAATAAGTCTGAATTGTGTAAGACCATTGGGTATGCAGCCGTGATTTCAGGGGAAGCAGCATAGACGTTTTTCAGCTTGTGTTTAAGCTTGGAGTGAATTCCATGGCCTCCCTAGGCCTGTGTTGTCTTTGTTATCACTGCATAGTGATCCCTGCATATAAGGAACAAGGAACAATAATAATAGCTAATGCTTACTAAATAGTGAATATAAACCAGCCTCGTTTTAATCATTTTACATATACCACCTCATTTAGTCCTCATAAAAACCCTGAGGTAGGCAGTCTACCTCATGTACAGTTCCATTTGACAGATAAGAAAGGCAGAGCAGGGTTAATTTACTTGCCTGAAAATCACTGTTAGCAAGAGATGGGCTATTTGAATACAGGTACATTTATACATGCACACACAGAACCTGTGTGTGCACACGTGTGTGTGTGCGTGTATGTGTGTGTGTGTGTCTGTGTGTAAACACAATAACATAAAACCATTCTAATTATTTTCAAGTATACAATTCAGTGACATTAAGTGCATTCACAACATTGTACAACTATGACCCTTATCAAGTTCCACAACTTTTTCATCATCCCAAACAGAAACTCGCTACCTTTTAAGATGAATTCTCTTTTCTCCCTCCCTCAGTCCCACAGCCTGTCTTTTAAACTACTACTTTCTTCTTTTGAGTAAATGAAGTAAAACTGAATTTCTGTAACAAAAACTGAGAAAGAAACAAACTAAAAATCATTTTGTCATACCAAATCCTTAGTAATGGAAAGTCTGAGGATGTATTTTAGGCAGAATAAAGATAATACCAGGGAGAAGGTCTGAGTATGAGAAGGGATCATAAGCGGAGATATCATTAAATTTTTTATTAAATCTCAACAATGATTGAATAAAGTAGTAGCATTTAATTTCTGTCTTTAAAGATTAGCAGAATTAAAATATCAGGTACCACTGTATGTAAATTAGAAAGGAAGTATGATCAAAGTTAAAGCATTTTAAGGTTCTTGTAATTTTCAGGATGAAGGTAAATGTTTTGATACTTCTAGAAGAATAGATGTGGAACACATAGCTGCTAAACAAGTTGAGGAGAAAAAAGTAAAAGGAAAAAAAAGACACAAAAAAATGAAAGAAATATATACACACACAGCACAACAAAAAATACTTGGCATAGCTATATTGATACATAGAATAAAATATATATCATGAAATACCTGCATTAGAGAAGTAGAAATGCTCAACATTAATAAGTTTAGTGTGCAACCCAGAAATTTAGAAAAAGAACAGAAAATCAAAAACAAAGGAAATAAGAGGAAAGAAATATTTAAAATAAAATCATAACAATGAGAAGCAAAAACATACCATAGAGAGAATCAACAAAGCCAAAAATTAAGCCTTTGGACAGATTAATAATACAGAAAGACTTCTAGCTAGATCAACTGAAAGACAGATAGAAGACACAAAATAAAAAATATTTGTAATAAAAAAGAGACATTACATGCTACAGAGATTTAAAAAGGTGACAAGTTTTTAGGGGCAACAGTAATGTCAAATATCTTGAAAATGTCGACAAAATAGATAAATCCTTTAAAAATACAAATTCCAAACTTTACTCAAAGAGCAAGTAAAAGTTTAATAGTCTTAGAGCCATTAAAGAAATTAAATCAGCAGTTAAAAATCTTCTCCAAAAGAGAACACCAGGTCCAAATGGCTTTGTAGCAGGTAATTCCAATCCTACACAAGTTTTCAGAGAATAGAAAAAAGTGATAGTCTCCTCAATACATTTTGAATGTAGTTCTCAAGCTTGAGATGGAGCACTCAAGCTGTGATACCAAGGAAAAACAAGGAAAACATTACTTATCAATCTTACTTATGAGCATAAATTCAACAAATTGAGCACAGCATTGTTTAAAAGTGTATATATGTCATGACCCAGCTGGAATTATTTCAGAAACATAGGATTGAATTAATAACAATAAAGTATTAAAATTAGTTACTACTCTAAAAGAATAAAAAAGGAAAATTATGTTATTACCTCAATGGATTCAAAAAAAGGGGGGTGGTGAAATTCAGTGTCACTCATAAAAAATCCAAGCAAGGAGACTAACAAGAAAATGACAAGAAAGAAATTTCCTAACCTGAAAAAGAACATGTATAAAAATAGCAGTAAAATAAATGCCACACTTAATGGCAAAACATTGAGAGTATTTGCTTTAAGATAAAGCAGCTTAATGACAAAGATATTCATTATTATCACTTCTATGGCAAAAAAGTAAAACAAA
Organism: Homo sapiens; assembly: GCF_000001405.40. Taxonomy (NCBI): domain Eukaryota; kingdom Metazoa; phylum Chordata; class Mammalia; order Primates; family Hominidae; genus Homo; species Homo sapiens. The sequence goes on from NC_000013.11 coordinate 91,210,786, forward strand.
GTAAAATTGCATCCATGCTTTGTATCATACATAGACATTAACTTTAAATGGATTCAAGACTAAAACTTAGTTGTTGAAGACAGTTTATCTTCATGACTTCAGAATTGGGAAAGATTTCTTAAGACCCTGAAAATTCCAATTACAAAGAAAAATATTAATAAACAGTTCATTAAAACTTCAAGCTTTTGCTCATCAAAAGATATTGTAAAAGCAATAAAGTAAGAGCCATATAGTAGAAAAATATTAGCTACATGCATAACTGCCCAAGGATTAGTATTCATATATATAAAGAACTTCTACATGTTAATATGAAAAATAAAATCCACTAAAAACATGGACAAAAGACCTCTTCTGAAGTTTCAAACACCATGGAAGGAATCACACTTTATTGTGTAATCATGATGTCACCTGGTCTCCTCACTACTTAAAATCTAAATAAGACTAATTCAAACATCCAATTGCATGGATTGTGGAAATTCAAAATCTTCCCTAATTATATTCAAATTCCTGGGAATGGAGAAGGTGGAGGTATGCCTTAAATTCTCATATTCTCTTATGATATGATTTTCTTCCTCAGGTTGAATTTTTTACCCCTGCCCTGTGTCTCATGCCTATTTTTATATGTTCATCCTGGGGTCATCCCAAATATGGAGCAAAGGTCCCTCTTCTAACCCATCTCCCAAAAGCTACAACGAAATCAAGCCTATTAACTATAACAAAACTTCTACTGGAGACTTCGGGGTCCCAAAGAGGTTCCAGCATATTCCCCTAAGAAACTTTCACTGACAGATTTATGCCATGTAGCACTCCAGCCTTTAACCTTTCTGGCATCTCTGACACCCACCTCACTTCCAACACTACTTCTCTGGTCCTACCGTCTCTTCTCCACCTGGCTCACAGAAGCAGAACTGTTCCTTCTTTACTTTCATTCCTGCCAATACCCATTCCCTCAGGGTCTCCCTGTCCTAGTGAATGTTGCATAAACAAAACAGTACTGCCCGGAAAGGAGTTCAGGAGGCAGCTGTTAAGATAACATGTTTTCACCCTGCTGCATTTTAAAGAAACAGAACTATGCCAGGATTTGTAGTAAGTAATGATTCTTGTAAAGGTATCTCATACATTGAGAATTTTGAGATCACTCACATCTATTGAAAATTGATTTGAAAGTTAAGATTTATTAGACTGTACCTCTGCATGCTTAACTTTTGACCATATTCTAACAAATTATCATTTGTCCAGACATACGTTTTTAATGTGTTTAATGTCCTATCTAATTCTTCTATAACTTTCAATCAACCAATCCGCCTATCAGCATATCATAAAACAAAGGTGGTTTATTTTAGATTAGAAATCTGCTTTACTTTTCAACAGAGTTTAACACTCTTTGTTTTATGCAGACTTTATCAAGAATATTATTTCCATTAAAGAACATCTACATTTTAGGGTCAGCTGATTACTAGAATATTTTACAAGTAATTTTTAAAGTTGATTTTTTAAAATAAAACGTCCTCCATGGACATATGTCTTAAATCCATCTCCTTCATCCCCACCGCAAGCAATTGTCATGAATGTGACATCTAGCTTGGGTGCCACCAACTGTTCTCCAAATAACAGCTAGTTAAGATCGGAAGCAGTGACCAAAGTGGTTCCCTAGTCATGACTGTGATTGACAAGTTTCCTAAACCACTTCCTCTTCAGGTAATAATGTCTCTCGGTTTTGTGACTTTTTTATCTCACGTGGGGTTGAAAATTATTCTCAAAATTAATTGACATTTCATTGATAAAAAGAAGAGCCAACTACCAAATTTTTAATAACAATTAAAAAGCATTAACATTATTAACACATGGAACAAAGCTTAACACACTCTTTTTGTTCCTTCAGTATCCCTCCTCTTCTTTAAATATTATCACTTTCTTGTCTTAGGTTTCCATATGTAAGAATTGACAGCTAGCAAAACTCACACATAAGTGTTTCTTTCCACAGTTCTCTAGGACTTCTCAAGCAGTTTTCACTACACCATAATGACGTTTACAAATTGTGACATGGAAACTTGGTTGGCAGTTCAAAGGAAAATTGATTTTTTTACTATGAGATTTTAAAACTTCACTTTATGGGGAGACTTTAACACCATCGATGTAGAGGGACGAAATCGCCATAGCCTAACAAGGTCCATAACAGTTACTTCTGACAAAACAAAAACAAGACCTCCTTGTCACCTTGTTTCACAGCTGCCAGGGTAATCATAAACACAAACTACTCGGGGTTTAGTTTGGAGGAACAAGACGGCTAACCTAAAATAGTAATTAAAAATTAAGCCTCCAGCAATCCATTTTGAAAATTTCAAGTCTTCTAAATTCTAGTCAGGCAGGAAATATGTTAAGAAGTTATGACCCTGGTAGAAGTCAGGATTTCCTTTTTTGATGGAAAAGTAGATGAAAACAGAAAAACTGAATCTTAAAGTGAAAAAGGCAAATCTCTCTTTATCAAGTATTTTAGCCTTAGTTGTCTTTTTTTCTCAGCAGGTATCTTATCTAAGAATACAAAAGAAGGAGACTTGGAAATTACATATGAATACAGTCAAGACAATAGTTTGCCTCTTTCAGGATCTGAAAATGGTCCCTGACATTGGATGCAGTGATCATGCAAAGAATACATACATATTTTTATTTTATATGAAACACATACATTTATATCTTATATTAAAATAACTATATTTACAATTGTTACTAATTTTTTCATCTTAAAAATAGCCATGGATTTAGAAATGAATCCTATGATTTGCAACTAAATACTTTCGGTTTTCCAAAAGTATAATTGTTCTGAAAAGGCTAGCTACTATATAATTTCAGCTACATGGCATTCTGGAAAAGGCAAAAGTATGAAGACAGTAAGATGAGCAGTAGTTGGCAGGGGCTGGGAGGAGGGAGAAGGAGAGACACATATGTCCATAGGTGAAGCACAGAGAATATTTAAGGTGATACTATATGATACTTTAATGGTTACTATATGGCATTATGCATTTGTCAAAACCCATAGAACGTACAACACCAAGAGTGAACCCTAATGGAGATTATAGACTTTGGGTGATAAAGAAATATAAATGTATGTTCATCAATTGTAACAAATGTACCATCTGGTGAGGGTCCTTGATGGTGGGGGAGGCTGTGCATTTGCAGGGGCAGGGAGTAAATGTGAACTCTGTACTTTCTGCTCAATTTTGCTGGGAATCTAAAAGTGCTCTAAAAAATAGAAAAGTATAGTTGGCAACTGAGATAACAACATGGTAAGAGATGGCAGTTACTGCTCTACCAAACCTCACATTAAGGAATCAAAAGTAATAGCAATAAATATTTTAAGAGGAACTATATATGACACTTCAGGAATAAAGTTTGGCCTCAAACGGAAATTCTTGTACAAAAACTTCATAACCATTTGATTGCATGCAAAACAAAATCATTATAAAGGGGTACATATCTACACATATTCTGTTGTAAGACTAGAGGTTGCAAAAGAAGTGGGGCTTGTTCAGTGTGTTCAAGTTGTGAACAGATCCATGCTTTAGCAACAAGACTTCCTCAACTGAAAATAGAACTTTTGAGTTCAAGTTTGATCTATTCCTTTTTTCAATGATGCTGAGTCGTTTCCTCTCTTCAGTCTTTTTCTGAAAAGCCAAAACTTTGAAGGGCTCAAAAAAACTGGAATTTCAGGTTGTCTGAGCCTATAAGAATGTGCATGCTGTTCCAACACTCATCTGCATTTAGAAAAGAATATCATCCCTGTTTGATTCGTTCTTGTGGAATGAGCTCATAATCTGGATTCAGTTTTTTTTTCAACCTTTGCACCCATTTTTAAGGTAATTTTCATGACACCCTCTTTACGTAGCCATTTTAGGAATTACCATCTCTATTGTAAGGACCAAAAAGGAGAGTGTTAGCAACAAGATCATCTGACTGGCCACCTAATGCCAAAGGACTATGTGGAGGATTAAAACTGGTGGCAAAACTTATTTTGAGTCCATGTGTATAAAAACATGGTAGCTCTTTCTTAGGTAGTCAACTAAAATTTCCATACATCCTCTCCATGATATTTCCTCAAAGAAATGCTCTGATATGCAGGAATTTTTTGCTACTGAATCTGTGCTGTCTTCCTTAGTCTTCTGTACCCCAAAATCTCTAAATAAGTTACTTTAAAGAAAAGAAAAAACTCAAAAAACAGACATTTCACATTATATATTTATACCTCTAAGTTTTCTTGTGTATGTAATGGCCTTTCAAGTCAATATAGAATGGAGATAAATTTAGAAGACTTCTTATTTCTAAAGAGATAATTACAGAAAAAGAATAAGCCGAGCATCTCCTAATTTTCTCTGGGATTTAGAGATAGTTGGTGTATACCTATGAATATTCTCAGAGATGTTTAATTGGACTAACGTTCTGAAAAACTTGGATGCCTAAAAGGCCAAGAGTAGAGAAATGCCATAAAGTGAATGAAGAATTGGATTGAATACAAAAAGAAATTGTATCTCATATGAGGGTAAATCTAATTTATAAGTGAGAAGTACTCAACAATGGCAGGTCCAAGTTCAGTTGAATCTCCTTTCTTCAAGATTTCTAGCTATTGCACATAGGCAGAAGAATGCTGCCTGTGAAACATTACTCAGTGAAAAAACTACACATATCCTTAATAGAAAGAGCACTTTGAAAATTATATAATTTTCATAAGAGCTTCATAAATATCTCATCCTGTGATTTACAAAAGCACGCAAGATCTAATATCCTCTAGCCCAGTAGAAAGCAAGATGACCTAAAGTTTACTATATAACATAAAATGTACATATAATTTCCTTTCTCCATTTTTGGTTGGCCAAGCTTTAAACAAGCTCCAAAGCCACTCAGTTCTACAAAAGACAATGCCTAAAATAAAAGCTTGTATGTTTCCATTTATTCAAATCTTTTCAGAAAATAAAAACAGTAGAAACAAATTATGTTTATCTGAGGACAGCAGCGCTGACAAGAGCAGGAGGGTAGATTGATGATCAAGATTCTCTTCCTATCGCCTACAATTATGATGGATGGTGGAGCTAAACCGCAAGTCAAAGAGATATAATGCACTTTTCAGTATTTTTAAAAGTTATTCATCCCACTCTTTAAATTCCAAAAATGACAGAACATTTATTCTTTCATGAGATTATATTCACTGTGAAAATTTTCAAAGAAAAATAGTTCTTTGTTGCTATTGAAATGTTACTAGATATATGTCAGTTTTCCCACTTCCCATTTTCATGGGACTTAGCTTATGTGCCACCCAGATTCCTGACTGTCCTGAACTCTACTTTTTAGTGGAGCCAGAAAAGACATGCAAAGAATAGATTCTAGGTCCCGTTGTAAAACAAAAACAAAACAGGATAATTCACCTCGTTTCAAATCCCAGAAGTGGATCTCCCTTGCCAGAGGAGTCGAAAGGTTGCCCCGAAGGATGTGATGAAATAGAGGTTTGTCCCCCTGACCCCATTTCTATGACATCAGCTCTGCTTTTGTTTTACTTATTGGGCTTCCATGTTTTTGCTTAAGGAATGGGCTCAGCTGCATCCAGATTTTAAAACCACTCTCTAAGAGAATTTGATCACTGCATTTAAGCACATTTGGTCTGATGCTTTATTTTTATATCTATTTCTACTGAGGAAAACAACAGTTGCTAGGTTGGCAATAGAAGTCAGGGGACTAAGTGAAAGAGTATGAATGATCTATAATTTGCTAAATAGCTCAAAGTATTTCATAAAGAAACTACAAAAATAGCAGGTATAGACTGGGGAAACCCTAGACATCATTATAAAAAAGAAACGTCCTCATTGTCACTTTTGTAAGCCTGTCTTCTAGTTCCCCTTCTATTCACACAGGTCTTGATACCCACTATTTTGTATTTTCCCTTCTCATGTCAACATTACACCCTTATACCCGTAGCTTACCTTATTTCAATCTGTTAGTATGTTGCTCTCTGCATTGGGAAAGCCTTCTTTTTAAGGCATTGTCCTCTGTTAATTAAAGGCATGGGAGCATAATTTTCAGACCTAGAAGAAATAAAATTCCTCTGAATTAAGCTTTTAAGGAAGATTAACTTCGATACACTTTGCAAAGACTCTCAAAGTATAAAATATATCCGTTTATTTTTTAACAAATATTTGTTGTGATTTTACTGAGATCCACATAGTCCTTTTGAAGAACACTCCAAGGAAACTTAAAATCTCAAGGCGGAAGTATGACTAGTGCGGGTGTGGCTTTCAGCCTTATAAACCCAGAATCTCAATTTCATCGGTTTACCCAGAAGCAGAGAGGCTTTATAAATGTAGAGCAAAGATCACAGGATTCTGAGTCCAAGACATAGGTTTGAGTTCCTGCTGCACGGCTTCTTAGCTGTTTATGTTCTTAAGCAAGTGACTTAATCCCCTAAGAAAAAAAAATGTTGAGAAATAACACTAGTCTTGCAGGATCGTTGTGAAGATTAGATGAAATCGTGCATACAAAAAGGGTTTTATATACTGTCCTAGGTTAAACATGTGTTGGTTAGATTTGCCTCTAGCTTGAGAGATACTCCCTAAAGAAAAGGACTTCTACGTGCCAGTAGGCACCAGCAGGGATTCCCTGCGGGCAACCTTTGAAGGCTGATAAGCATCTCTAACAGCTGCATAAGAGAATACACGGACCAGCTAGAGGGCAAGGGTCATGCCCTTTGCCCTTCTGCTCTCAGCTCAAAGGACATCTGCCAAAGATCCCCTGCAGGGAAATTTAACTCTAAGGAGAGAGGCCCAGCAAACATTTTAAGAGATCATTACATGTTCTCTTACAGACCTATCCCTTCGTACACGTAGTGTCTTGCCCCTATCTTCCATCACCTGCTGAACTTAACATCCTATATTACTCAGTAAAAGCCTCCACATTTTTCAAAGTCCATCTAGATTCTTCAGAATTGTTCAGGTTTCTCTCTCTTCAGCGTCTGCAGAGAACCCACTCTTGGCAACCTCCAACTCCTTTCCCCTAACAGAGTTTTTTTAAAGCAGGAGTCGTGTGTTGTTCATCTCTGATCGATAAAGGTTATTCTACTCTGCAGTTTCTCTGAGACAACTGCTAAGGATACTCTCCTTTGCACCTGGAGTTCTTGAATGTAGTCCTGTCCATAGCTAAACTGTATCGGAATCACCTGAGATATTTTTTAAATTAAAGATACCTTGATCTTTGCAATTTTGTTTCAATAGTTTTAAATTAAGGCCCTAGGGACTATATCAAAAGTTTCCAAAGTGGAAACAATTTTAAAACTCCCCAGGTAATTCTGATGCAGTTTATCCATGGACAGGCATTTGGACCCACTGAATTCAATTGCTGTAATTATCTTGATGAGGTTTAAATATTAAAACAACAACTTGGTGTTATTAAAATGTTTACAAATGCCTTCTTAGAGTGGGTGAATTTTATTATTTTTTCTTTAGTGTATGATTTCTGCAGTTAGCTATCTTTCATATTATATACTGAATATTCGTTATCAATTTCATTAAGAGTTCCTGTTTCTGACTTTGTTTTCAAATTGTCTAGTGCTTCTTTCAAATTGTCTAGTGCTTCTTACTACAGATTCCAAATGCCTATTTGGTTGTGAGAGTTGTATACCTTCCACTTACAAAATTGACCTAGAAATTCATTATCAGAATAACTGCATAAATGCTAGACAAGAAGCATGAATCTATTTCTTTCAGAAAAGAACCTCTTACATCTACTGACTGCTTCTCTGCTGAAACTGTGGCATTGGCATCTTTATAGAAGAATAAATAAATGGTTCAATGTGAGCAATAAGCGATCTCGCGACAATAAAGAAACAAACGAACGAAAACTCAGGAAGTTATTATGACTCTCAAAGCTGATTTCCTCAATCACATTGGTTTTGAAACCAGACAAAATATGGGGTATAACATTTAGAAAAGTGACTTTTTAAAACAAACCTGCCATATGCCACACACCCAAAAATTGTTGACTCTTTATAATACTTTTTTAATATTGGTTTTCATTGGTGGCTTTAGACATTTTTTTCATTGTTACTTCTATAGAATCAGGGATCTTTTCTGAAACTAAAAGAAAATGTCTTGAAAAATAAAATATAACAAATTGTGTTGATAACAGATTTGAATTTTGAAAACAGCTAGGAGATATATGGCTTCAAGTCTTATGAAAAGTTGGGGAAAAGAAAAAATATGATTATATAGTAAAAATAATGTTTGGTCTAATTTTAATTTAGTTTTGAAGCCAATTGCCAAAGTTTATTTCTAAAAAGTTTTAGAAAATGATACTACCAATTGAGTAAGAATAAAGCTCCCCATTTTGTAATCTGATTTTGATAATATTTATTCGGATGTTTATGTGCTAGAAGGTATGTTTATGTGCTAGAAGGTGAGTAAAGTCAATCATGTTTCATAAACTTTGAGATAAATTATTAGTTTAATATTGGGCTTTTTAGCTACTTTAAACATTTATATAATTTCAAAATTAAACATGTCTTTTAAAAAAAGAAAAGAAACAGCTTTCCCAATTTGCACAAGGATAGCCAGAGCAACAGATGGCCACTGTCTGTTTTTCTCCCAGTCCTCTTCTCTACTTAGATTTTTTGTAGTGTTCAAAGCGGTTCTTCATTTGAGAGCAAGAATTTAGAAAAAGGAATATTCAAGGTGCTAACTAAAAGAACTACTTTCATGGAAAGCAGAAAGTTCTTGGCATGATAAAAATAAGCTCCTTAAGAGGCTCAGGAAACAGCATTGCATTTGAGGTGTATTATTGTTGGATGCACAAAGTGTGCAGGAGATGTGAATAGTGGAAATGTGAAGGTGGGGAGGAACCAAGACCCTATCCAACTTTGGGCAAAACTGAAAAGTAGACTAAAGCTTGTGTGTGAAGCTCGTCTTTTCCCTGTTTAATGATCACATCCCATCTCCCAGTGACCCTCATTAATATATTAGCTAATAATTCTTAAGGAATACAAAGGAATCAACTCCAGCAAATAAGGCAATAAGTGAGCTGGGGATAAAAATGTTTCCCCCTCAGTTTGGGAATAACTTCACTATTGCCCCTTAAAGGCAGCCTTGAGATTGTTATTTTATTCTCTCTTGCTAGATATTACCCTAGAAGTATATTTGTGCCTTCCTGTGAGGTTCTTAAGGAGAAAACAGTGTTCTGAATCCAGGGAGAGAAAGCTGTGATGTCAAATCTGTGGCCCTTTCCTGACTTGGGAAGATGCTACTGTACAGAGAGGCCTTAACTCTCACTATCCAGGTTCACACCAGGTGGTGGCCACCGATTCTGCCTCACTGTGGTGTTTACTTACCCTGTTCCAGACACCCAAGATGTTTTCCCTGCACTGCCACATGAGTGGCATGGCAAGATTGTTTATTAAACGTAGGTAGGGCACGATGGCTTACACCTGTAATCCTAGCGCTTTGGGAGGCCAAGAGAGGAGGATCATTTGAGCCTAGGAGTTCGAGACCAACCTGGGCAATACAGCAAAACCCCGTCTCTCCAGAAAAATACATAAATTAGCTGGGTGTGGTGGTGTGCACCTGTGGTCCCAGCTACTTGGGAGGATGAGGTGGGAGGATCACCTGGGCCTGGGGAGGTTGAGGCTGCAGTAAGCCATGATCAAGCCACCAAACTCCAGCCTGGGTAACAGAGTGAGACCCTGTCTCAAAAAAAAAAAAAAAAAAAAAAGTGACACCATTGTTAAAGAAACAATTATTTAGGCCAGGCGCGGTGGCTCAAGCCTGTAATCCCAGCACTTTGGGAGACCGAGGCAGGTGGATCACGAGGTCAGGAGATTTAGACCATCCTGGCTAACACGGTGAAACCTTGTCTCTACTAAAAATACAAAAAATTAGCCGGGCGTGGTGGTGGGCGCTTGTAGTCCCAGCTACTCGGGAGGCTGAGGCAGGAGAATGGTGTGAACCCGGGAGGCAGAGCTTGCAGTGAGCCGAGATCGTGCCACTGCGCTATAGCCTGGGCGACAGAACGAGACTCTGCCTCAAAAAAAAAAAAAAAAAAAAACAAAAGAAACAATTATTTAATGATGTTTGTTAAAGCACAGTATGAAAAACTTTATTCAGGACCATTGCAATAGGTATAGAGACCACTGCAATAGAGTCTTGTGGTTGGGGAGATCAGGCTCAACTCCAAATACAGCATGGGCAGGTGGGAATTTACATCCAAGGAGCAAAGCAGGGGGTCAAAGGATGGAAAATTACTAAGAGGAAACATCAGAGGTAAGGGGGATTCTGGCTAAACCAACCTAACAGGATTCTTGCTGAATGCAGGCCAGGGTAATGAGACGTCACCTGGGGGATGGTGAAGGATGAAGAATCCAATCAGATATCTGGTGTGAGCAGATATTGAACTAAACTGCCTTGCTAAGCCAGGATGTTATAAGGAAGTACAGAGATGGGCTAAGGAGAAATTTCAGAAGCCTGACTGAAGTTTGGCCAAGCAAAGGATCTTTGTGACCACATGGCAGTGGCATCCAAATTAAATCAAAACTAGAAAAAAGAATTCTTTAACCTTGACCTTGAATGACTGAGCCAGTTTTCTGGGGGTTTTTTTCTGTGTTAGTTTGTAGCAGAAACCAGAACTAAATCTGTTTGCTGAATAACCATAATTGTGTCTTGGCATTATTATCACAGGAGGAACACAGCGAAGGGAAGGAAGTTATTCTTGCAATAACAAAGCCATCCTACTTCAAAATGGAAAGGGATGATCTTCACTTGGGGAATGTCACATTGCATTTGAGATGTATTTTTATTGGACGCACAAAGTATGTATAAGATGCAAATAATGGAGAAATAGAGGTGAAAGGGAACCAAGATCCGTGAAAGCCCTCATCTGCTAATAGGATTCCTGATCCCTGCTTTTCTCTAACCAACACTCAGTTGGAGTTTGGTTCAGTATCTGTTATATTTCCCTAAGTAATCTGCTTTTTTTTTCCTACCTATAAAATAGGAAACATAACAAAGTTTGCAATCTAAAATAAGTATAGTTACAAACTTCAAGATCTGACTTGAGACCTGAGTAATGCCACTCTGAAGGTTACCCAAGTTTTATCTTCCTATCCCTCCCCAAGGCTGGTGTGATTTAGGAAATCAGAATTTACAAGTATGTTTTATACATATTCATATTTTCATGATGCAAATGCATACGGTAGACCCCATTAATAAAACCATATATTTAGTCCTACCCATCTTTCCAAAATTATTTCATCTGTCATCTTTTGATAGAAATTGCTAAAAGCAATATTGCCACTGAAGGAAAGAATTCAAATTTATTCTCCAGAGCTAAATAGAAATAAAATGAATTCATGTGACTTTCAACTCGATAAAGTAATAAAATGACAAAATTTTATTACTTTTTGGTCCAAAGACATATTTTAGTGTGACATAATCATTTATATTCATGTAATAATAATGGCACCAGTAATAACAATAAACATTCTGTCGTTTGCATGCGGAGATGAGTCTCCTAACTAAGCATGCTAGAAGCTCCAAGAAAACAATTATGAGGTCAAAGAAAAGTATGCTTTGGCACTATCCTAGTTCCTCTTCAGGCAATCTTTCCCAGTTCCTGGAGCACAGTCTTCTGTTTTCCATTCTCCACTCCCTCAGCTCCTTCAGTGTGTACTATTCTCATAGATACTAAGTTTCCAGAAGGCAGCAGCTCCTTGACTCATTTCCCGTTCCCTGATTTTCCCAACATTTTCAACCCACTGATTGCAGAATGCACACCACCTCCTAGCTCCAATATACCACACCTTCAGATTTAGCAATATAGTAATCCATTCCTTGCTAGCATGAGTTTGAAAAGATACATTTAAGCTGTCCAGCTTTCCACATTCTGTGGGGCTCAGTTTTGTCACTCTCTCCATTATGCATCTCGAAGGGTTTTCTTTCTGCCAACCTGAAACTCCCCATTTGTGCTGTGAATCGTCTTTGCGACCTTAACCCAGTGTCCTTCGGTACTCACCATGGGCTTTCAGCATTGTTTCTCAAATCAATTTACACTATCACAATGGTGCCTCTTTCTGAAAATGGGGGACCTGATCCCTACCTTCCTTTAACTTCAAAACTATAACCCAGTTTGCAAAACTAGGTTTCTTTCTATCTTGGTTTATATTATGAGAGTTGTGTTCTAGTTACTTATTCAAGTATGCAGGAATTAGCAGTTATTTATGCTTAGTTTCTATAACCAAGAAGCATTTAGTGTTTTGGCTCTTTGGTTAAGGAATATGATTAATATGGGATCATATTATTTAGTCAATTTAGCTAAAATAGAAAGGCAGTTGATTAGCCCACCAAAAATTCATACTTTCTAAGTAAAGCCAATCATCAAACCTCAAGTTCATTTCTCTGATTTTCCAAAGCATATTAGAATGATCTATATTTTCATTAGCAATTCTGGCTGGTGGATCTGGCTTCAACCTTTGGAAATTTTATTTTCACAAACAGCATCATCCACATCACAGCTTAGACCCTATATCAGGGCAGGCTTCTTAAGAAATAGTAAAGAGTCTAAAATTTTTAACCTGCTTTTAAGTTAGCAAGTTGAGCAAGCTTCTGCCAGTTCCATGGATGCTGGCAGAAGATAAGAGACTCCTGGGTCAGAAACAAAGCACAGTTTATTACTTGCAGAAAGAGCATTGGTTAGAGTGTCAATTTTCTTGTGCTGACCCCTATGTCCCAATTCCCATAAGACAATGTAAAAAGGGTCTGGTGACACCTGCATAAGGAGTGAATGGAATTACAGCAGAGTTACCCTGAGCTTAGGAAATCCTAGTGTTTTATAATATACAGTAACACGTCCTTGGTGAAAATAGCTCCGACTTCTGAGGCTGTTTGCCACACAAAAATCCTTTAAAAGAGATCCCTGAACAAAGGTTAGTTAGTCCCTCTGCTCGCAAGATGTGCAGAAAAGGAAGAAACCCATGGAGAACTGTCTCCCAATGATATTTCCTCTTCATTTCTATACTCTTGTCTTTTGGTAAATTTTCTCTTGAGTACACCACTTCATCAGCCACAGTACTTAATCTGAACGGAGGCTGGAACCAAATTAAATGTCAGTGCCTCCTAACTGGGACCTATATCAATTAAGGAAACAGGAGGCAGTGCTTCCAACACAATTTCTTAGATAACTGGCAGGGCTTAGATTTCCAGTTCAGTTCAAATAATTAAATCTACTCCTTGTTTCTGAAGAGACTGCCTCGGGATATCAGTCCAACCTGCCTGTTTTTCCATGTCACTACAATGGCTGCAGGAATGGGGTTAGAAACAATATTCTGAGGTACTGATGGGGTATTTTGCACTATAAGTGCAGGAGCTCGGCCCTCCCTGGTGTTTCCAACAGACTCCCAGGTAAAGTTTTAGGGAGTACAGATCGAATCGTAGTCAAAATCATGTGGCAGAAGATGACAGACCAACCGTTAGTTAACTATTTCGAGGTGTTTACAAAACTTTCAGAGAGCCTTATCAGAGTATTTTCCTTTGTGAAAAAAGTTCCAGTGTTGATTCTGAAAGTCAGTGATCACTAATGTCCCTCATTCTCTTGTACTTCTCAGGGTCTACAGTGTTTCCCTCCAGGTCATTGCTCACATTTCACCTCCCTGCAAAACCTCCCCAAAAAAGCATGTCCTAGTCCAGTAGCTATAGCTTTACATTTTTTTCTAATCTCCTCCTAGTTGCATCCAGACATTTCATCAGGAAAAGCCAGCCACAGGAATGATAAAGGCATTTTACTAAATCTTTCAAAGACCCATTATGTTCTCTATTTTGTCTTATGTTGTCCATTTTGTGGGAATTCATGACTAATGTACTAAGCCAAGTGGTCATTAGCCATATGATCTTGGATCATGTCAATTCAAGAATAGAATCCAGGTGGCTGAATCAAATAAAGTTTGAATCTCCTAGACCAGGCTGCCATCCAATGGAGGCATAAACCACACTAAAACGGTGATGTCATTAAGGAAAAAGAAAGAAGAATCATGCCCAGGCATGGTTGGAACAGAATCCCAAATTTTTCAAAGTAGGTCTGTATAACTTCCCAATCCAATGCTTTTTGCCTCGATCATAACCCAGGAAGTGGCCTAAAGGCGATAATCCCTTTCTGAGAACAGTGCATTCAATGAGCAAACTGCTTCATGAAGGTGTATGGATCAGAAGAAGGTGAGAGAGGTAGAGTCAAAATGTTTTTGAGTCAACTTTTGAGGGGGCCATTCCAGTGCACCAAATACCAGATGCCTGTGGAAAGCACAGAGCATGAAAAGCTATTGAATATTTTGACTATCAGTCCACGGCCATGTGGCTTTTGTGTTAGAAGGCTCACAATTGTCGGACTAAAAATGGCCTGAAAAGCCAAAAACATGACACATTCGATTAGTTCAAGGGCCACAATGTTGTGACCAGAGTCAGCTGATCAGACTGCAACAACTCCATACCCTGACAAGTATCAACAGCAATCAGGCCACCTTTATGGCCCCAAAAGGAGCCATATGCCTGATAGACTCCCAGGAGTAAGCAGAGGTCATAGCCCATGCAAAGTGGCCTCCCCATCAACTTTTGGGGAAAGTCACAAATCTTTCATGCAGTGGTAGCTCTGCATTCAAAGTATAAAGTCTTTTAATTTGTGCCCAGTCTATGATGGTCAATGTGTTATGAGTTCTGATACACTGAAAGATCCAGCTATTAGTGTTGTCACCCAGGGCAGTGCAGGCTTGATCAGCAGCTTCACAGCAGTCAATTTCATCATAAAACAGACACTTACCATAAGCATCTGCATAAGTGATTCAGATGGCCTCCCTTTCCCAGAGACTATAACAGGCAAAATTGCCACTCATGTGGATTGTCATCAGTCAAAGCGTTTTGGACAACTTTCAGAGATGCCCATTGATTCAAGCACTATTCAAAGGATATGGATTTGCAGAATAGCTGATATAAAGGATCAAGTAGAATTGCCAACTGAGACATACTGTCTCTAATATCCCATAGTTCAATAAGATGCTGGGCCTCCTTTGGTGGTGAGGCCTGAGAGATTGTCCTTTTTTTCTTTTCTATCATTGGAGGGATTGAGTGTTGTGCATCCATCCATAGTCCCCTGAAATTTTTACCTTCACACACTCACAGCACTTTGCACTTAGGAAGGACTCAATAAACATGTGTTGAATTTTTAGATCATTCTGGAGAGTAAACCCCAAGTAGTAGCTCTGAATTAATTACTCATTCTACTACCCTATTGCCATTTACATTCATTCACCTATGTCATTTACACTCATGCCATTTACATTTACATGCCATTCACAGATGGCATTCTTAAAAACTTGGGTGTCTAATATAAACAGAATGTGAGCCCAAAGGCAAAACAGAGTTAAAAGTCAGTATCCTACAGCGGGGCAAGTAATGGTAAGTGTTGGAACATGCATTCCAAAGTTGAAAAGAAGTAAAATTTTGAAAGCATTTCCCAGAATAAGAATGAGGTCAGCATCCCAGGCACTAAAATGTTTGTTCCCAGGTCAGCACCAGTCATCTCAATTAGCCACACAATCCAGAATAGACAAATACAAAGATACAGAAAGCATATTAGTGGTTTCCATGATCTAGGGGAAGGAGGGAGGGAAGGAGTGACTGCTGAATGGGCATGGAGTTTCCTGGAACTAGATAGTGATGATGTTTGCACAACATTGTAAATATACTTAATGCCACCGAATTGTATACTTAAAAGTGGTTAAAATAGTAATTTTTATGTTATATATATATTTTACCAAAATAATAAGAATTGTTAAAAAGATGATTCATACAATTGAGAATGAATTTTTAAGTTGGGAACTCTGAACCCATCCAAGGAATGGTGCTGGCGGAAAGAGTGATAAATGGTAAAGTAAGGAGGTATAAATCTAAAAATATCTACAAGAAAAGATGAATAGATACATATATTAAATATAATCTAATTTCTGTTTGACCTTTATGTATTAGCTTGCAACCAAAATTTTACTATATTTAAAAATATTCCAATGTATGTAGTTTAGTAGAAGTGGCCCACGAAACTTGAAGCTTATAAATCAATTAACCGTCAGGTTAAGACATTTAATCTCACTCTTCCCTTATCTTTTACATTTCAGTTTACTATGGTAAGGAATAATAATCTTATTTGTGAAATATAGAATTTACATAGCTACATTCATTGTCTTGAATTCTAAACCCAAGTTATGGCATTTGGGGTTTTATTCTTAGTTTTGCCTCCAATACTATAGAATTATAGCTCAGGGGCATGGTGAGTAATGAATTTAAATGATTTCTTCTGATACATAGTTTCACCACTAAATATTTATCCCTGTTGGATGCTCCAACATTGCTTTTTAAGAGTGAAACTCAATGAAATTATATAACTGGTGACTGCGCTGAGCACCCTGTGGCTGTTCTATAAATATTAATAGAATCAAATTGCAAACATAGAGACCAAGAATGCCTAGAAGAAGTCCTTGCTGAATAAGAATCACCTCTTTCAGTGCTATAACATAGAAAACATTAAAGCCTAAAGAAGTCTTCTTTTTATTCAGTTCTATCAAAATATGTTAACTCAGGAAAGCATCTAGGGATATTTTAATTTCTGAGACCATCTGTCTCTTTGAATGAGCTTCATTTAAATGAATGAATTTTCACTGATGCTATAAAAATTGGTCAGCAGCAACTGATTACTTGGTCAACCAGCTTCTTCCTCCTCTCAGTTTCTAGAACAATTTTTATGCTTAAATGATTTGTTACTTGTTAGAGCCACTCTATCATAGGGTTTTCCTCTGTTGGACTATGAGATCCCTGAAGGCGAGGATTATATCTTACTTATATTTGTAGTCCTAGGATCTAAACAAAGAGTTAATTAGCTAAGTAGATATTTCTTAATAAAGATGGGCCACAAATAAGTGAAACTTTTCATCAGCAAGTTTGCCCTGTACACAGTAGTTGGTTATAGTCTCTTAATCTGATAAAAAGAAAACAAATGAGAATGTTCCCTACAGGTTTAGTGGGAAGGAGGATCCTACTTTAGCTCCTATAGGGTCCCAGGGTAATAGGGAGAAAGTAGATTAGGGGAATTTGGCATATTTTGCTTTATAGGTAAACTGGTTGTAATATCTTCTCCAACATCCATTCTGCTCCACTATGTTCCTTTACCATAACAACAGTCACCCATAATGAATGATAGAAGGTTTTGGTTGAGATAGATTGACACTCCTATCCTGTCTTTTTATCACCTTCCACAATGAAAGAACATCAGACCATTCATGTTCCAGAGGGTTCTTATCATTCCAGACTCCTTGCTCTACCACCCCCCACCAACAAACTAAGTCCAATATTATGCTTTCAGTATCCCACGTTTCCCAAAGTAATAGGTAAGTTGGATTAAACAAGATTAGTTTCTGATCATGAGTGTTATGAAATCCAGTTAATAAAAGAAAATGCAAGATGGCTTGGAAGATATCCTAAGGAATTTAGTTGAAACACAAATCCAAGAAAGTAACCACAAAAACCACATTTACTCAGTACTTTTTTTTTCAGATACCTAGTCAGAACAGAAAGAAATAAAACAATGATAAGAAAAATATCATGAATAACCTTTGTGGAGGGCTTACTAGGTCCCAGTTACTATGATAAATATCTTACATATATTAATACATGTGATTTTCACCTCATCCTCATTAGGTGGCTAATATTATTATTATCCCCATTTATGTTTGAGGAAACTGAGGCAGAAAGTAATTAAATGCCTTGTTCAAAGTTTATCCAGGCAGCAAGTGGTAGAGTCCAGAATGAAGCTGAGTTAGCCCTCACTCTTATGCTAGAGACAGCTTCTCCTGGAGCTGTGTCAAAGCTGCGTGTCTTTCATCACATTTTCATCCTATTCTCTGGAAATATTATGACTTCATATGGCTTCATATTAATAAAATAAATAAAGGTTCAGTTTTGTAAAATGCAGAAAAATTTCCTACAAACCTGGAACTGCAAAACATTCTTATCTCTCTATGTCTCAGTCTCTTTCTTCCTGAAAAAGGCTGAGAAACCTAGTAGCTAAAAAATAGTGATGTCACTCACAAGAAACTGCTCCTTGCCCTGTTCCCTTCTCCAATTTTGGGCCTCAACCAGTTGGAAACTGGCATCAGTGTGCATAATGATGACCTCCGGGTGATCATTTTGAAATGACTTTCCTCAGTGATGTTAGATTTATCTGATGATTTTAATACCCTTCATTTTGAAATGCTATTATCCTGAGTGCATGCAGGGGACAGTACACTTAGTCATAAGTGATGGATGAATTCATTATCTTCAGCCAATTTTAATGGGTCATCTAGAAAGGAAATCACCAGTCAGTTTTGGCTACTGAGCATACTACCTCAAGCACCTTATTAAGCCAAATATAACAATAGGGGGCTTTTCATTTTCCTGTCAGACAACAAAGGTCACCTATCACAAGCTTGAGAGGCATTAAGGTTTATTTCTCTTTAGCCTGAAAAAAAACGGATAGAGTTGAAGTTTTTATCTTTTTCCATTGTGAACTAAATATTTCAGACTGTGTGGCCAACGAAGAAGGAAAGTGCTTCACAGGAATTCAGAATGAGAAGCTTTCTCTGCTGAGAAATAGTGGTTGGCATTAATGTATTCCCTGGGTGACATTATGAATTGAATGGCCCTGTTGAATTGTAGGCCTTCAGCCCCATCATTAAGAGCTAGAAGTAAACACATTGGTGTGGAATATAAGTAGGTATGTCTGTGGGTATCACTGACTCTTCTATCCTCAGGTACTAGAAACCAAAAATATCTGATACACACAAAATAACTGCTATTCATATCTCAACAAATCTTTTCTGTTCTTGGTTGGGAATTCTTGACTTTTAATCTTTTAAAGTATCATTTTTCATTTGACCTATCAACTTGGACTTTTCTCTATGACCTGATTCTAAGCATCTGTAGCTGTTGAGTACAGTAATGGCAAAACAGGTATAAACTTCAGGATCTATGTTTGCTTCTAGCTAAGACTCCCCTGCTGTTAGTTCCTAGTCATATAAAAGTGACTTGACATCATTTTAATGCATTTACATATTGAATAATCATTTTGCATTATCTTGAAAATGAACAGATTAGCAAATTTTGTTAGCAAATTTTTGAATTGTACAAGGAAGATTTTTAGGACGATTAAGAATCAAGGAGAAAAGCATGTTATAAATATTCTAATGCCAATATGTTACACCAAAATAACCTCAAAAACACATTGAGACTATACTGGGATTATTGGGTGGAATTCAAATAGAAATAACTGCCCAAATGCTCAGAAAATAGTAGCTGATCTATCTGATTGCTATTTGATGTAGCTCATCATTTTAACATCCTTAATTAGAAATAATTATTTTGTTTATCTTGTATGGTGGTTATTAGTTGTGTTTAGTAGTAAAACATTATTTAACAAATAAAACATCTAGTTTACAGTCCCATCAACAGTGTAAAAGTGTTCCTATTTCTCCACATCCTCTCCAGAACCAGTTGTTTCCTGACTTTTTAATGATCGCCATTCTAACTGGTATGAGATGGTATCTCTGCATTTCTCTGATGGCCAGTGATAATGAGCATTTTTTCATGTGTCTTTTGGCTGCATAAATGTCTTCTTTTGAGAAGTATCTGTTCATATCCGTCACCCACTTTTTGATGGGGTTGTTTGCTTTTTTCTTGTAAATTTGTTTGAGTTCTTTGTAGATTCTGGGTATTAGCCCTTTGTCAGATGAGTAGATTGCAAAAATTTTCTCCCATTCTGTAGGTTGCCTGTTCACTCTGATGGTAGTTTCTTTTGCTGTGCAGAAGCTCTTTAGTTTAATTCGATCCCATTTGTCAATTTTGGCTTTTGTTGCCATTGCTTTTGGTGTTTTAGACATGAAGTCCTTGCCCATGCCTATATCCTGAATGGTATTGCCTAGGTTTTCTTCTATGGTTTTTATGGTTTTAGGTCTAACATTTAAATCTTTAATCCATCTTGAGTTAATTTTTGTATAAGGTTTAAGGAAGGGGTCCAGTTTCAGCTTTCTACATATGGCTAGCCAGTTTTCCCAGCACCATTTATTAAATAGGGAATCCTTTCCCCATTTCTTGTTTTTGTCAGGTTTGTCAAAGATCAGATAGTTGTAGATGTGTGGCATTATTTCTGAGGGCTCTGTTCTGTTCCACTGGTCTATATCTCTGTTTTGGTACCAGTACCATGCTGTTTTGGTTACTGCAGCCTTGTAGTATAGTTTGAAGTCAGGTAGGGTGATGCCTCCAGCTTTGTTCTTTTGGCTTAGGATTGGCTTGGCCGTGCGGGCTCTTTCTTGGTTCCATATGAACTTTCAAGGAGTTTTTTCCAATTCTGTGAGGAAAGTCATTGGTAGCTTGAAGTCAGTGGGATCTAGAACTAGAAATACCATTTGACCCAGCCATCCCATTACTGGGTATATACCCAAAGGAGTAAAAATCATGCTGCTATAAAGACACATGCACATGTATGTTTATTGTGGCACTGTTCACAATAGCAAAGACTTGGAACCAACCCAAATGTCCAACAATGATAGACTGGATTAAGAAAATGTGGCACATATACACTATGGAATACTATGCAGCCATAAAATATGATGAATTCATGTCCTTTGTAGGGACATGGATGAAGCTGGAAACCATCATTCTCAGCAAACTACCGCAAGGACAAAAAACCAAACACCGCATGTTCTCACTCATAGGTGGGAATTGAACAATGAGAACACTTGGACACAGGAAGGGGAACATCACACCCTGGGGCCTGTTTTGGGGTGGGGGGAGGGGGGAGGGATAGCATTAGGAGATATACCTAATGTAAATGACGAGTTAATGGGTGCAGCACACCAACATGGCACATGTATACATATGTAGCAAACCTGCACATTGTGCACATGTACCCTAAAACTTAAAGTATAATAAAAAAAAATAATAATAAATAAATAAATAAATAAAACATCTTAGGTGAAACCTCAATAAATCAAATATAAAGGCAGAGCTGCTCTTTAGAAGGGGGAAGTTCAGGGAAGCTTAGAGTCAGCCTCAATCTGGACTCTACCACTTGCTGCCTGGATAAATTTTGAACAAGGTATTTCATTACTTTCTGCCTCAGTTTCCTCAAACACAAATGCGGATAATAATAATATTAGCCACCTAGTGAGGATGAGGTGAAAATTACATGTATTAATATACGTAAGATATTTATTCTAGTACCTAAGACCTAGTAAGCTCTCCACAAAAATTATTCATGATATTATTCTTATTATCATTATTTTATTTCTTTCTGTTCTGACTAGGTATCTGCCAGAACAAAAAAAAGTACCGAGTCAATGTGGGTTATGTGGTTACTTTCTTGGATTTGTGTTTCGACTACATGCTTTAGGATATCTTCCAAGTAGCCCACCCCCTCTCATCTCCTTGCTACCCACTGACAGTCTCTCAGGGAATTCTATGGGACTCTAGGACTCCATAAAGTCCGTCTGAAATCAGTGACCTGCTGCAACAATCCAGACACAACTGAAGGAATTGTCCTTCCTCAATGATTCCTGCTAAGGAAACTCTTTTAAGAGTATTTGCCTGAAAGTGAATGTATACTTCACTAACACATTTTCTGTGTTTAACTACATCTGACCTGGAGCTTCTTTGAGGCTTTCAGCTTCTAGTTTTTAAATCTTGCTTTTTAAGACAATTTTAGAAAGTCATCAGATTCGTTCTAAAATAAAGAAAACTAGTCATATAATCAGAACTTGAAAGTTATGACTATTATTTCAGAAAGTATATTTCTTACTGCTGTTTAGTTCTACAACTAACTACATTTATTACAGGTCCTGTTTTAAGAAATAATTTTCTTTAAAAATTAACTGGAGTAAACATAAATTTCATTAGATTTGAATTTGGTCATAACCTGAACAATAACTACAAAAGCATTAACCTATCCCTTTCATTAAGGTTAATTATTTAAGATTTCTTAAGACTCTGTGTGACATTTCCTGGGTACAATGCTCAAGAAATTCCCTGTGGTTGCTTTAACTATGATCAGGCAAATTCTTACCAAGTAAGGAGTGGTGATTGTTGCATTCTTTTCTCAGATAAAGTTAATGAAGGTAATGTAAACAGAGAGTGGTTTGTTTTCTGCTCATTTGAAAAACATATTACTTATCAAAATGCCACACCTAGGTAAAGAATGAAATTGATGGTACTAAAATGCTTTGAAAATTGTGAAAAGCTGTAGAAATTATGAATTAAAACAAGAATCTCCATCTCTTTCTCCCTTTTCCTCCATGAATTGAAACTGCCATCCAAAATCAATGATTTCCTTAGGAATGCTCACCCATATGAAAGCTCAAGCAAAGGCACATTTCCTTTTTCAAACTTATAGTTATCTAGAAGTATTGAAATATACCTCAGACTTTATTTCTAAAATGGATAGAATATTGTCCATAATAAAAAAAGAAAAGCCTTGCCATGTTATAACTTACTAAAATAAATTTTAACAGAAGTTACTAAGGATTTTAAACAGATGTAAGTTAGTTCTACCATACCCTATGTTTACGAATATGGCCAAAAAAATGTTAGAGAAGGTTTTAAGCAGTAGCAGATAACACAAGTCCATCTGCTTATGTCATCTGCTACTCTTTATGTGACACGGTAAAGATTATAAAAGGAAAATCAAATTCACATAGCATTTATCTAAGAAGATTCTATAATTGAATTCTAAAGGGATTTTTTTGTTTCTTTTCTCTCTTTTTTTCTTTTAACCCTACTTACTAATTAAAACAGTAATCTGATATTTTGAATACGTCCTCCTTTGTTTAAAACAAGGTACTTGTTATTCACTAACCCAATTTGACATGTTCAAATTAGCTTTTTATTTTTATTTTATTAATTTCTTAGCCTAATCTCCCTAGGCGGAAACACACAAGAACACAACTGTTTGAATTAGTCTTCTGTTTTTAGTGATTTTTAAGCTGTGTGTTAATATTCAGTAGTATACACATGATTAGCAGTATAAAGCCAGAGTTCTCACTGCTCTAACATAGATCCTTATCACCTCGTTTTTCATCATTGCAATATCCTCCTATTAGCCTAGTCTACCCCTACAAACTTTTATCTCTCCCCTCCACCCAAAACTTCCTTGTTAGGGGTCATGACCACTAAGAGGAGCACAACATACTTCTCCCTATCCCCACACCAAATCCACCCTCATGGAGGTCTGAGTACACATCAGACTCATTGGGCAACAATACTAGGAGATGCAGTATTAAGCACATCAGGCTGGAGGAGCTTGGAGCTACCTTAGAATGCTTATCACCCATATGGGTAATGAAGTGAGACTGGACCACCTACCTGATAGGAAGGCCAGGGCCTCCCATCTATTGGGAGCCATAGGGTGACTCTAGTGAAAGGAAGTATGAAATAGATACAGTCTTATCAACTTCAGGCTTTTGGGTGTGCTTTTCTTTTGGTTGTTCTTCCTTTTCCTTTGTCATTCTTTCTCCTCCCTTTCCTTTTTCTTGTATTCATTCATCCAAAAAATAGCCACTGCGTGAATACCAGTGCTGTGTCAGGTACAAATATCGGGTGGCGAACAAGATACTCACAGTCCCTTCCCTCATGGAGCATTCATTCCCTGATCAAGGAAAACTGATATTAAACAAATAATTACAACTATGATGGGGGTTTAAAAAGGAAAATAAAAATGTGATAGAAGCAATAATAAGGGCCCTAATATAGTCTGCAGAAAGAAAACACCACTTTGAAGAATTGGCATCTAAGCTAAAATCTGCAGGAAAGGGAATCAGCCATATGATATGAGGGGAAGGGGCACTGAGGAACAGAAGAGGGAATGATGCAAGCAGAGGAAGCTGCTAGAAATCCCATAAGAGGGAGAAAAAGGAAAGAGCGAGAAAGACAGTAAGGTTGATGGAGGCCAGGAACTGAAAATGAATTCAACCTATCAAGAACAATGAGTGAGGAAGGGCCAGTAAGAGGGGGAAGTGTCTGATACAGAGCAGAAAATAACTAACAGGGCAAGATCCTGAAAGAGGGGAAAGGATAGTGTCCAAAGCAAAAATAAAAGTGCAGCTACATCCAAGAAAGAACCACCTCTGCCAGTATGACAGGAGGGAAGGAAGAAAGGAAGATTTGTAGGTTTGGTAGTGGAAGGTGTAAAAGCACCTCTCTTGGGACTTTGTTTAAATGGAATCGGGGTGAGGTCATTTGGTGAGAGTGAAGGGGTGGAGATTTGAAATAACTGTTGTGATGCACACCAACATGAGCCAATTGGGAAATATATTAAGAATGCAAGGAAACAATGAGAGCCCAGGGGAAGTGATGACTGTTAATTTATAATGGTACCAATCTTGGTTATGTAATTTTCTACAGCAAGTCTTATCAGGCAGACTAGTGGCACAGAGTGGGTAGAAGTTAGATTATCCAGGGATGACGACTTGGCAGAACGGTGTGATGAAAAGAAAGAGGCCTGAACAATTGGCAGGAAAGTTGCTGAAATGATCATCAAGATAATTTACAACCAAAACCAAGGAGAGAAAACTAGAAGGGGTGATGACTAAGGACCCAACGTAATTGAATAAGCAGACAATTATTGTTCCTTTGAAGCTCACATTCTACCGGAGGAGCCATAAAAGAAACATAGATAAAATGGCGAAGAGCGTGATGAATACCACAGAGAAAATTAAACCACGGTGAAGGGATACAGAAGGACAGGGTGCCTACTTTCTATTGAGGGATCAGGATCTCTGGGAGACTCCATTTAAGTTAAAATCTGAATGACAAGGAATATTCTGCTTTGAAACATGAAGGGAAAAACAATTTGGAAAGATGACAGAGCAAAAGTGCAGATGCACTAAGTTGAGAATGAGCTTAGAATGGAGAGAAGGCCCATGGCACTACGGGGAGCAAACACGGAGAAGAGTGATTAAGAATGACATGCGGCCAGGCTCGGTGGCTCACGCCTGTAATCCCAGCACTTTGGGAGGCCGAGGCAGGAGATCACTTGAGGTCGGGAGATCGAGAATAGCCTTTCTGACATGGTGAAACCCCATCACTACTAAAAATACAAAAATTGGCCGAACGTGGTGGCGGGTGCCTGTAATCCCAGCTACTCGGGAGTCTGAGGCAGAAGAATCACTTGAACCCAGGAAGCAGAGGTTGCAGTGAGCCGAGACTGCACCATTGCACTCCAGCCTGGGAGACCAGTAAGACTCCATCTCAAAAAAATAAATAAATAAATAAAATAAAATAAACAAGAATGACATCCAAGTGACACAGGCCATATTGTGTACAGCCTAATAGAAAAATACATGGAGTTTGCTCCTTTTTTTTTTTTTTCATGTCAGAAGATTAAAATGGAGGAGTGATCTACTTCGTGCTTTCGAAGTCAATTCTGGCTGCTTTGTGTAGACTGTGAACAGTAGGCCTCAGGGATATCAGGTTGCTGGTAGTCATTCCAGTGATCCAGGGAAGAGAGGAAGGTAGAATAGTCTAAAGAGTGACAATGACAAGGTGAGAGCTGGAATATGCTTTCATGACTTGGAGGTGGGAGATAAGAAAAAGAGAACAAGATAAGCTTGGGACTAAGGCAATGAGGGTCAAGTGAAGTCATTTTCAGAGGCGAAAAGACAAAGATGGAGCAGATTTAGGGGCAGCAATAATAAATTCTGTTCTGGAAATACTAAGTTTGGGTTCTTTGTTAGGTCTCTAAAAGGATATCAGTCATGCAGTAGGATAAACAAGTTGAAATTCTTGTCAAGACTGCAGATAGAAATGTGGAAATAATATAGGCAATGGAAATGTCAGAGGAGGTTGTCAGGAGTCGCCAGAGCTCAACTATTGGAGCATGAGTGGGTCAATGACCTGAAAGTCCAGGTTCCGGATGTTCCATTCACTTACACAGGCTATAGAGGTGGTGTACTCAGGGGGAGAACCAGGCTTTTGGTAAGGCCAAGAAACTACAGAGGCTTAGGAAGGACAAAATTCTTAGAGAGTTCATGAGCAAGTTAGGAAGAAAAAAATGAGAGTTTTCTTGGAAGCAGATTGTAGAAATATGGAGAAGCTTACATTTTAACCAGAGAGGGAAGGGACCTGGAATACATGGAGTGGTGGCTGGAGTTTTAACACTTCCTAAATTCTTGGAGAATTTAACTGTAGCTTGGAAGGCTGTGATAAGTGTATCCTTTTCCTTATGCTCCGTGGCAGTGTTGGCAAACTATATTTGCAGGCCAAATCCTATCCACGGCCTGTTTTTGTAAATAAAGTTTTATTGGAACACAACCACGCTCCTTCATTTACATAATGTCTATGAATGCTTTCACACTATAAGGGCCAAGTTGAATAGTTGTGACAAAGATTGTATGGCCCACAAAACTGGAAATGTTTATTATCTGCTACTTCATAGAAAAAGTTTGCTGATTTCCAATCTATGGATCTGTAAGGTAGGTGCCATGACTACAGAAATCAAGTATGAGCCTCGTGGTTTGAGACACAGAGTGGGTGGCTCCTGTGGTCTTTAAATAAAAGTTTTTGAACCTTTAGAGGAAGATTATGCAAGCTCTCACATAACATAGACATATAACGTGATAACATTGAATAGTTTGAGAGCACTTGTTTTCAGGTAATGCTTGATGTTCCTCAGCACCTGTAGAGGAAGAAAGTATTCAGGTTATTCCTTGGAGCGAGACTCCCCAGCCATTGTTCTCAACAATCATTGCATGGAAGCTCA
The DNA here is from genome assembly GCF_000001405.40 of Homo sapiens. Classification (NCBI taxonomy): domain Eukaryota; kingdom Metazoa; phylum Chordata; class Mammalia; order Primates; family Hominidae; genus Homo; species Homo sapiens. The sequence continues at coordinate 91,237,624 of NC_000013.11, forward strand.
GTTGCCATGATCGTCAATTCATTCCTCTTGGAGCTTAGTAGAAAATGTTAGCCTTCTATGTCTTGATCAACAAGAAAATCTCACAGCAAATTTCCCTGGCATCCAATGCATTTCAGCTGTTTTAACTCATATACACAAAGTAATTGCCCAAAATCAAAACACCCTGCCCATGTGACTGAGCTGGTATGAGGCTTCCACTCTAATGTGGGAGGATCTAAAAAGCGGAAGTTTAAGTGTAGGTTTAGATTGGGGTCATACACTCAAAAATTACAAACACTGGACAGGACTATAGATTTACAACATGAAACAGATGTTAGACGATAGGGTTGAGCGGGGATTGTGGTGCACCAAAGAATGCTTACCCTATCTAAACAGAGGGATTGCTACTCAAATCTAGTTTTGTGACCATGCAAGAATAAAAATTTGTTCACATAAACTCATTATTCAAGGACGGTCATAAAATTATATTTTAATGTTAAATTTCTGCATTTTTTAAGCACATTCATTGCCAAACAAACCCTATTTTGGATTGCCAATCAAAACCTTTCAACTCTAGCCCCATAACTGCTCATTGTTACCACATTTCTAGAAGAAAGAAGTGAAAGAAGCTCCTTTGCTTGTTCTTGTGCAGAACTGAAATCTGATTCTCAAAAGCAATCTGTTGCACGCATGTGTAGTTATGTTTTTAGCTCACTGGGAAACTACAAAGGGGTTAGGATTGCAAATCCCAGTCCAGAGTTAAAATTCCTTTTCACAGCTTTCTTCCTGGGCTGCTGAACTCCACTAGACATTAGTCCTGCCTCTATACTGATAGTCTGAGAAAGAAAATGCCAGCTGGTGTCCAGCATTCTCAAATCCTTGGAGCTCCACTGCTGCCACATTTTCAAAAGAAATGTAGAGAAAAAAGACCAGCCAAATTCTTCAGCATGGTATTCAAGTTCCTCCATAATCTGACTTCAATAAACCTTTCCAACATATCCTCAGTTCTTCCGTATTCCATTCAATTAGGATGCCTACCATTCCCAAAATATGTTATGCATTATAATTTCTATATCAGCCCCTTTTTACCTATCTGAATCAAGTACTTTATGTCATTTTGTGACCTCTTCCACTGTGTTGTCCATTTCCTCTTCTTTTGTACTTACTGATAATGTTGTTTTTAATTTTTTCCTGAGTAATATTTGATTTCTTCATCTAGCATGTTAGTCTGTGTCCTCCAAGATAATATGTCAAGACAAGATTAAGCAAGTGAGGATTTTTACTGGGGAAAATGTGCCTGCACAGGAAAATAAGGGGCAAGCCAGGGGAGGCTGGAAGAACTATTCACATACAATGCAAGTCTGATCCCGAAGGAAGAAGAGTGGGAAGGAAGCTTGGGTGGAATCATCTTAGACTGTGATGCAGTCAGAGGAAGGTCCAGTAATATTCATGGAGAGTCCGTAATCCAAATTGGGCTATCTTAGGAGTCTCATGTTTTCTGGGAATAAGCTGTTTTAGTATCTCAACTGTACTCAGTTATCGGCTGAGAACAGTCACTAGGAAGTGTAGAGAATTTAAGTGTAGCTTGGAAGGCTGTGATAAGTGTATCATTTTCCTTATGCACAGTGCAAATGTGGCAATGATGGCCTTCAAAGCACAACAGCAGAGGTCCTTGGTCAGTAATATGGTTTGGCTTTGTGTCCCCACCCAAATCTTACCTCAAGTTGTAATCCCCATAATCCCCATGTGTCAAGGGTGGGACTAGATGGAGATAATAGGATCATGGAGGCAGTTTCCTCCATGCTGTTCTCGTGATAGTGAGTTCTCATGAGACCTAATGGTTTTATAAGCGTCTGGCATTTCCCCTGTTTGCATTCACTCCTTCCTGCCGCCCTGCGAAGAAGAAGCCTGCTTTTCCTTTGCTTTCCACCATGATTGTAAGTTTCCTGAGGCCTCCCCTGGAATGTGGAACTGTGAGTCAATTAAACATCTTTCCTTTATATATTACCTAGTCTCGGGTATTTCTTCGTAGCAGTGAGAGAATGGACTAACACAGTCAGTCATACTCAATACCCCCAGAGTTGGGGAACTGAGAGGTACGTTCTCATAACTGCCATTAAGGAGGAATAACCTCCTTATAGATGGAAATCGTGTCTAATATTCTTTTTTTCTTCCATAGCAAACTGCAAAGTGCCACATTCAAGGACATACATACATAAATTCATACATACACAGCTACAAATAAATAGATCACAAGGTAATAAATAAGCATTTAGTTTTACTTTCAACTTGCTCTTTTTTTTTAATATGCTCTTTTTTAAAGAATAGAGTTCTACAAGTGTGGCTATGTTGCCTCTACTAAGAAAACTACTTTACTCATCTTATTTCACTTCATTTTCCTAAATTCCTGCATTTCTTTATTTGTATTTGAGAAATCCATAAACAAAACACATAAATTACCACTATAGGGCCAAAAAGCTGCCTTAATGGCTTGAAACAATAATTTCATATCTCTAACATGCAATGGACCATTATATACTCTCAAGGAGTCATAGAAACAAAAAGGAGACTAGAGTTTATCTGAGATATTTCACTAAAGTACACACCATCGTTTGAACTTGCATAATATTGTAAGTGTTCCTTATTTTTGTATATTTTGTGTCCCTTACTTTTTGCTTAATCTACATGTAGAGGTCATGACAGTATCACTTAGATTCTTACTGCATACTTCCCACACTTTCATTAAACTAATTATCTCAAAATATAATTAGCTAATTACTGAGAAAGGTAGATAATGATAGTGAGTGGAATGTAAGATAAGCATTAATGAACAACAGGATCCAAATATTCCAGTCAGGGAGAAGACATTCAGAGTTGGCAGAGAGACAAGGAATATTCAATAACCTTTTGATCAGTTGCACTTGAATCAGAACTAACAATGCTACCCTGTGTTACTGCAACTGGGTAGGAATCCAAGTCCTCAATTTTTTAAATCCTAACAAAGCTCCTTTACATTTCAGTGATACTGAATGATGTACTAAATTATCCTAGTGCAGACCGGTTGCAATTTGTCAACTGGACTTTTCAGTCTTTCTCATTTATATTTATTTATTTATTTATTTATTTTGCTTTTTTAGAAAGTATTATGTGAAAAAGATTTGTTGTCATTTGTAGCCAGTGTCAAAGCAACATAATTTATTATAATGAAGTTCAACATGTTTCTGAAGGGCCAACATTCCAAACTTTAAATTGTTCACAAGATGGTAAGGGCATATTTGTTTAAAATGAAAAAGATCAGGTTGAAAATCGATTTTTAATTAACTGGATCTGGATCAGAGAACTTTGCAAATGAAAATACAGTAGGGCATCTAATCAGATAGGTTATTTACCCAGAATAATTGAATCCACGCTACAGCAAAGTCCTTAAAATGTGGCTTTGCTGCAATATATTTTAGTTCTCTGAGTGTGTTCAACTGTCTACAGCATGGAACTAATGTAACATGTAGCATGGATAAAATCCCTGCATGAATCATCAGTCTCATCTGGAGAAAAGCCATGCCAAGAGCAAGACCAGCCATGACATCTCACTTTTCTGTAATAATTGGATTGGTATTTGGAGTAGCATAACCTCAAAACTCTCCACACAATGTGTTTATCATACAACTTTGGAGCAATTCACTTGCCTAAATTCCCCATTAGAGTGTGGGCTCCTTTTGAGGAGAGATTTATCCCCTGACTAATACCTAATAGGCCCTCAGTAAATGTTCATGATTTAATCTGTAAACAGTGCAGAACACTAAGACCAATTTAGTTCAATATATTATTTATTTATGCTGTACAAGGCATAGAGCTGGCGACAAATAAAAGGGAAACCATGGATATCGTCTGGGAATGTATAATCTTCTTGGAAAATAAGACAGGCACCCATGAAACATTTACAACCAAATAAGGTGGTTTGTAAACTTTATGTTTTAATGAGTGATACAAACAGTGAATGCTGGCAGAATTCAGAGAAAGAAGAAATCTGTGTTGGTAGAGTGACAGGCAAGCATAAACACCATCATTAGAAAGGCAAAGGAGAAAAGAGGGCATCCACTGGGTGGAATAAGGTAAGTCTGACACATTCACAGGACAGATGGGAAATGGGGCTGCCTGGAGTGGATGATTCACAATGAGGAGTAAAGACAGCAAAGGTGGAGGGGTAAGGCTAGAAATAAATGAGAAAAGCCTTGAAGCCATTGTGAGAAGTATGAATAGTGTAATGGAGAAAAACACTGAGCTAAATCAGGAGATCTTGTTCTAGGCCTTCCTTTGGCCCTGTTTGCTGCTCTAACAAGTGCACTGCATTGACTTCAGTTTCCTCATACATGAATCGAGACAGACCAAAAGACTCAAAGTTCTAGGCAAGATAGAGTCCTGGGCAGAGAAGGTACGAGCAAGGAAATGCCACGAGGAGTGAAAGGTTTGGGTAAGACCAGTCTGATGCACAGAAATGGCCTGGGTAATGGCCAAGGAAGTGTTTGCAACAGCAAACCAATTACCAGAAGACAAAGTTTTAATATAAGGAGCAAGTAGAAGAAATGGAAATGTAAGAAATATTTGAAGGCATCATTAATCAGACTCAATGACTTGTAGAAGGACTGACTTAAAAATAATGGCATTGCTCTGGCGCGGTGGCTCACGCCTGTAATCCCAGCACTCTGGGAGGCTCAGGCGGGTGGATTACGAGGTTAGGAGATTGAGACCATCCTGGCTAACACAGCGAAACCCCGTCTCTACTAAAAAAAAAAAATAGCCAGGCGTGGTGGCGGGTGTCTGTAGTCCCAGCTACTCAGGAGGCTGAGGCAGTAGAATGGCGTGAACCCGGGAGGCCGAGCTTGCAGTGAGCCGAGATCGCGCCACTGCACTCCAGCCTGGGCAACAGAGCAAGACTCCATCTCAAAAACAAGAACAACAGCAACAAAAATAATGGCATTGCTTTGAACCTAGGTGACTAAATATTAGAGTCTAATTAGAAAAAAATATATATTAAGGGCAAAGCCAGTGTGAAATGCAACCACACAAGTTTGCTTTGGCTCTATCCACCCTAAATACCTTCCCTCCACTGTAAGAACCACCTTTTAGTTTCAGCCTTAGGTTCCACAGCAAGAACCTCTGGAGTGTGAACTTGCTGAGGATCCTTAATAGCCACTCCTATTTCCCCATGGCTCATGTGTGGGTTTCCAACACACCACCTCCTCCTGTGTTCCTCACATCTGGGCTTTCTTCCAGATCTGTTCAGCTTCCCATACCAGTTGCTCTTTTGAGGCTTTTCTGCTATTTTAGATCTCCATTCTCAAGTGAATGAAATCTGACTGAAAATGAATGCTTTCTCAAGAAAATTACTATGGTTTTGTTGCAGGATGGGCAAGCCCAAGTTGGGGCTTAGCCAGGGAGGGTTTTTGGCTTTACCCAGGAACGAATTCAAGGGTAAGCCAGTGGTGTTAGAGAGCACTTTTTCACTGAATGGTACTGCCCCTTGTAGAGCAGGGCTAACTCGGAGGCAGTGCGCCCAGAGTTGGCCACATATGGGCTCTTGGTAACCGCATTTATAGTCACGTAAATCCACTTCCAATTGCATGCAAATTAAGGGGTAGGTTGATACAAATTGAGGAGTGGGTTATTTAGAACTTTCTAGAAATGGGGTGGTAATGCCAAGGTTGTTGCCATGAAAAGGGGTGGTAACTCCAGGTCATTGCCATGACACTTGTAAACTGTCATGGTGCTGATAGGAGTGTCTTATGCTAATGAGCAATGAGCACCTTGGGATCTCTTTTTTCATCATCTGCTGGTTCCTGACAGTTTCTTCATTTCATCCTGTCTAGACCAGATCCTGTTTTGGTCAGCAGAATTCTGACCAGAAAACAAGTGCTGCTGGTCTCCTACCTCCATTTGATAAGTAAGTAGGAATACTGGGTACTTGATCATCACAACAATCTTTGAGATATTGTATTATGCTTCTCTTGCTGCGTGGTAAATTACCACAATTGTAGTGACTTGAAGCCATGGCCATTTATTAGCTCACAGTTCTGTGGGTCAGAAGTCTGTGACTGAGTTCTCTATTCAGGTTCTTACAAGACTGAAATTGAGGTGTTGGCCAAATGGAGTTGTTATCTGGAAGCTTTGGGGAAAATTCCACTTCTAAGCTATTCAGGATAGTGGAAGAATTCAGCTACTTGTGGCGGTGGGATTGATGTCCACGTTTCCTTGATGGTTGTCAGCCGAGGGTTTTCTAGCTCCTAGAGGCCACCCAGGGCCATTGTGTGGTCCTTGAGGCCACATACATTTTTGTCAATCGGGCTGGTATGCGGTGGTGTGATCATAGTTCACTGCTGCCTTGCATTCCTGGGCTCAAGTGATCCTCCTGCCTCAGCCTCACAAGTAGCTGGGGCCACAGGCGTGTGCCACTGCACCCAGCTAATTTTTAATTTTTTTTGTAGAGACAGGATCTTGCCATGTTGTCCAGGCTGGTCTCAAACTCCTGGGCTCAAGCAATCCTCCTACTCAGCCTCCTGAAGTACTAGGATTATAGGTGTGAGCCACCGCACCTGGCCTATCTTCCTTTTTAAAGGTCAACTGTACCATAGAACATAATATAATTACAGACCGAAATCTTCGTATTCACAAATCCAGGGGCTATACAGGCTACATGCACCAGAGGGCAGAGAACATTGAGGGCCATCTCAGAATTTTGCCTAGCACCGGCATATGATGGAGGAGACCCAAAGCTGTCCTAGACATTTTCAGATATTTCATTCAAAGGCTGATATTTCCATGATGTTTATTAATGAGTAATTTAATTTAGTATTTAAGAGCATGAGATCTGGGGTCTGCCTCCCCAGAGGCATTTTGCCTCTGTCACTCATCCGATATGTGGTCCTAATCAAGATCCTTATAGCCTTCCCAAATTTGGTTTTTCACATCATCAAGATATGGAGATAAATAATACTTGGTTTATATATATGTTATAAAGATGAAATGAAATAATTCATGTAAAGCTTTAACACAAATTCCTGGTTCTCAGATGGTCGACTGGCTCATAAATGGTGGCCTTTTCTTTTTCTCTTTTTCTAAATGAGACTCGGAGATATTACTTTTTCCAAAACTGCACAACCACTAAGCGGAGGACCTGAGAATCAATTCCTAAATCTCTCTGGCTTCAGAACCTACCCTTAGGCTGCCAGGCTACTCAAGGTTTCTTCATAGCCTCCTGCAATAACTCAGAAACATTACATCTTTATTGATTCATCAATTAACATAGAAGGCATCAAAAACAGCTTTGATGTACTCCCAGCTTCAAATATACCAGTTTTTCTGCATCTGACTTTTATACCCTTACAGCTCCTCCTTGCACATGGGGTGAACTATCTAAGGCAACCACTTCACCTGTACGGGTTCATAGCTCTTCTCACCAAATAAAGGAGCACTCCTGTAATTATCCCCTCTTTTCTGCACCTTTAATCATTCCCACACTTGAGGATCACTTCCTTTAGCATACACACACACTGATATAGCTCCTACCTTCAAAGCAAAAGCCTCCCTCTCCCTGTGTCTGCTTCAGAAAGTTAAAACCTCTACTTCTTATCTGTCTCAATAAACAGCAGCTCCATTTTTCCAGTTGCCTTCACCAAAAACCTGGAGTTATCTTTAATGCCTCCCTTTCCCTCATACTCCACATTTATCAGCAAATTCTGACAGCTCCAACTCAAATATAAACCAAATCTGGCTATGCCCACTACCGCCATCACCACCACCTCAGTACAAGGACCTCCCATAGCCAGTGAAATCCAAAGTTATTGTCAGGTTTTACAAGGTTCTTCATTATCTGACACCAGGTTTCCTCTCCAGCCATATCTCCAACCACACTCTGCTGCTCTTGTTCATGCACTCCAGCCTCACGCCTGTTCCTGGAAAACACCAAGCAAACTTCTGCTTCCATGCCCTTCACATTAACTGCCCTCTGAAGGAGATGTCCTTCCACAAACACACACAGATACCCTTCCCCTCATCCACTTCATTCAGATTCTGCCTCAATTGTATCTCCTTGGAAAGGCCTTCATCACTTTTATTTATTTATTCATTTATTTATTTTTGGTAGGATCTCACGCCGTCACCCAGGCTGGAGTGCAATAGCACAATCTTAGCTCACAGCACCCTCCAACTCCTGGGCTCAAGTGATCCTTCCACTTCAACCTCCAGAGTAGCTGGGATTATAGGAATGTGCTACCATACCTGGCTAATTTTTTTTTTTTTTAATGTTTCGTAGAGATGAGGTCTTGCTGTGTTGCCCAGCCTGGTCTCAAACTCCTGAGCTGAGAAGATCCTTTTGCCTCAGCCTCCCAAAGTGCTGATATTACAGGCATGAGCCACCCTGCCTGGCCCCCTCTTTCTTTTCTCCTTCTTTCTTATTACCAAGTATTACTAATGTCCCTGCATATTTTTAATTCAATGTGCTATAATTAAGTACCATCATCTTTTATTTCAAATTATCATGAGCTGGTCTCAAACTCCTGGGTTCAGGCAATCCTCCCGCCTCAGCCTCCCAAAGTGCTGGAACGACAGGCATGAGCCGCCACACCTGGCCTCCATCATTCTTTATCACATGTACTTAACTAAGTTATATATGTTACATACTTATTTGTTTATTAATATTTTTAGCTTTTTTTAATACAAATTATTTTGTATTCACTTTCTCACTTATGTATTTATTTGTTGACTTGCCTGTCTTTGCCCCACTAAAATGGAAGCTCCATGAGAGGCAGGGGAAGTTTCTGCCTTGCTCAATGCTCTATCGTTTGTGTCCAGAATACACAAGTGCTTGGCACTTCATAAATATCCCAACATATTTGTAAAGTAAACAATGTAAAGGTTTTCCTTTCATCCTGAAATCATTCCGTCTGCCCTCATCCACAGGTGTGGATTAAGATGCAGCAGGCTTTGTGCTAGCTCCTGGGCTTGTAAGAGTAAATAAAATACACATGGTTCCTGTTCTTTTGAAATTTAAGACTAGTAAAAGACATAGACGAAGAAATAAGCAATGAAAGTCTAATTTTGTGCTATAATAGGGGAAGGGTGGTATGACTTAGGAACACACAAACGTGGCATCTCTCTGAAGACGGAAGAATTGTTCCTGCAAGAATTGGCAGATAAGTTGAGATCTGAAGGAAGAGTAAAGGTTGAGGGAATGGTATTGGTAGGGGTGATGATAGAGATTATTTTTCTATTTGTACTTAGAGAGTACAAAAATTCAAACAAACTGGTTTTGAAGGTACTCAAATTTTACCCAAAAACTAATCCATAAATCATTGATCTGACGAAGAAAAGTATATGTAATTTTACTTGAAACCTTCATTTTATACTTCAATAAAAGATACTCTGATGTTTTGGGGGTTTTTGAAGGTCAACTTACAAATTAGCTTTTATTTTTACTTTGAATAGGATAATGTTGTATGCTACTAAATCCATTTAATTCAATAGGAAGTTACTAAACACGTAGCATGTGGATAAAGGTAGTCAGGATGCCATCTCCCCAGGAATGTATAATTTTGTAGAGATGGTAAGGCCTATTTGCAGATAATTAAAATACAAAACAATAAATGAATAGATGTACTTTAGGAGTGGTTCAAAATGCTGTGAAAGTGAAGAAGCCCAAGATAAGAGATTATTGATTGCCTCCATTGAGTTTACCACATATGCAAATAGAGAAAAATCTCATTACTAAAGGCTTCAGGAAGTTAAAAGAATTTTTTAAATCCCTAGAAGTCACTGGAGACTCAAGGCAAAATATATTCTTCAGAGGAGAGGTCAGGAATGTAAAAAAGAGAATTAAGAAAAAGATGATACAAGTAGCTTTTTCTCTTTCTACTGAGACCAAAGTTGGAATTTCAATAATGAGTTAAAAAAGCAAAAGTGTTATCTTGTTTATATTTTAAGCTAAAGTGAAAAGTAGTTCATTAATCTTCACCTATAACTATCAAAGATAAAGTGTTAGGTTATATGGACATTCTCATGTAAGAACCCCAGTGCTGGCTCTGTTGTTTATATACAATTTTCCAACAAAATGTACACAAAATAATCCAAAAGCATAAGTGAACAACTTTTATGATATATTTTTTACTGTTGACTATAATGTTTTAAGAACTCAATTCCCCTATTATCTTTCCTTATCCCACAGTAATGTATAAATTAGAAACCTAACCATACTTAGTAAAATGAGACTTTCAGTGTATGGAATATAATTCCTCAGATTTTTAGCAGGACAGTTTTCTTCATTTCCAAGAAGAGTTATATGAAAATTGTAATATCAGATTTTGGGTTGATTCCTTATAACATAGTGCCATCTAGAGATTAAAGCTGATGTTGCTACAAGCTACATTAAACACAACCAGCTTCTAAAGTATAACATTATATTTTATAGCTAATGAGTATAGCAGAGTAGGTTAAGTTTTCATTAAAGTATATCTACATGGAGTATATTTTAAATAAATTAATGACTACTTACACAAATGGATTTGCATTGGCATCTGATATTTGCATTGTGTGGCTTCTCATGTGAGCAGGTGGTATGCCTGTGCTGATACATCTAGCAGTTTAACTGAGGAAAGTTATATCGAAGTACAAGAATATTAATTCGATCAATTTTTGTAAAAATGCGTAATTGAACTTCTACAAAGAAGAAAGATAGTTTTCATTATAAATATGAAATATTCATTAACCACCCACTATGGGTAAATAATGCATTGTAGCTACTAGGTGTATTTGTTTCCTGAGGTTGTCATAACAAATTACTGAAAACCTGGTGGCTTAAAATAGCAGAAATTTACTCTCTCACAGTTCTGAAGGCAAGAAGTTCAAAAGCAAAGTTTTGGCAGACTGCAGTCTCTCTGGAGGCTCTGGGGGAGAATCCTCCTTCCTTGTTTCTTGCAGCTTCTGGTGGCTTCTGGCAATCTTTGTCTTCCTTGGCTTGTAGCCACATCATTTCCATCTCCGTCTCTCTTTTCTCCTCACCTCTGTGTTGGGCTGTGGCTGCATGGCTGCAGTCTCTGCTTCTATCTTCACATTTCCTCCTCTCTCTGTGTGTGTCTCTCCTGTCTATGCATCTCCTCTTTGTATGTCTTACAAGGATCATTTATTGTCCTTCTATTTATTGTCTATCATTCAATTTGGTGCCTGTCTAAATAATCCAGGATGATATCTTCATTTTTAAGACCCTTAACTTAATTACATCTACAAAGACCCTTTCTCAAAATATGGTAACATTCACATGTTCCAGGGATTTAATGTGGACATATCTTTTGTGGAGGAGGGCCACCATTCAACCCACTACACCATGTTTTTTGAGACAGGGTCTCACTTTGTCACCCAGGCTGGATGGAGTGCAGTGGTAGAAACATGCCTCACTGCAGCCTTGACCTCCCAGGCTCAATCAATCCCCCGACCTCAGCCTCCTGAGTAGCTGGGACTACATGCCACCATGCCTAGCTAATGTTTTCAGTTTTTGTAGAGATGGGGTCTCCTTATGTTGCCCAGGCAGGTCTCGGACTCTAGGGCTCAACCAATCTTCCTGCTTTGGTCTCCCAAAGTGCTGGGATTACAGGCGTGAACCACTGCACCCAGCCTACACTATGTTTTTAAAAAGAAAGAAAAATCTATAGAAAAATAAATGGTTTCTACTTCAATAAGTTTACAGCATAATTGGAAATAAGGCTTATATATAGATAACAACTACCTAGATCAGGGTTTCTTAACTGGCACTATTGATTGACACTTGGGGCCCGATAATTCTTTGTTGTGGGGTGCTGTCCCCATGTTTTTGAACGTTTTGCAGTATCCTTGGCCTCTATTCATTACATGCCAATAGCACACCCCTTCTCAGTTCTGACTATTAAAAATGTCTCCAGAAATTGCTAAACATCTCCTGGGGAGCAAAGTCCACCTCAGTTAAGAACAAGTGATCTAGATTATCATAAGTAAATGTAATAAGATAAAAGTTCAGAGGAGGAAGCAATCAAAATGGACTGGGATAGTTAAAGAAGGTTTCATGGAAAAAAATGAGAAATGAACTAGTTACTAAATGAAAAAATAGCACTTGAAATTGGGGAGGGGGTAATGGAAAGCATTACCAGCCTCTAAGATCCTCTTGCTGAGAAGCATTGTGAGCTTGTCAAGACCAATAATCATACGCCTTAACTTTATGCATCAAGTTCCCAGCACCAGCCCCTGGCACAGAGTAACTCTTAAAAATGTCTTCTGAGTGAGCCAATCAATGATGTTACTGTATTAACCCGTTTTCACACTGCTATACAGAAATACCCAAGACTGGGTAATTTATAAAGAAAAGTGGTTTAATTGACTCACAGTTCCACATTTCTGGGGAGGTCTTAGGAAACTTACAGTCATGGCAGAAGGGGAAGCAGGCACATGTTACATGGCAGCAGGTGAGAAAGAAGAGAGAGCAAAAAGAGGGAAGAGCCCCACACTTATCAAGCAACCAGATCTCCTGAGACTTGCTCACTATCACTAGAACAGCTTGGGAGAAATTGTCCCCCAAATCCAACCACCTCCCTCCCTTGACCTGTGGGAATTACAATTCAAGATGCGATTTGGGTGGGGATACAGAGCCAAACCGTATGTTAGATTAGTAGATTGGAGTCTGAGTGTGGAAAATCTTAAAGAAAATCGAAAGGAATCTGAAAGCTATTCTATTAATTATGAGGAAATCTGGATGGATTTTGAGTAGAAAGATGAACTGAATAAAGCAAGCAGTGGCGTACAGAAAATATTGGAGAGGCCAGAAACAAGATCAAGAAAGATCAGCTGAGACATTATTAAAATCGTCTTGCTGTGAAGCAATGAGTTCTAGTACCAAGATGATAACAGTGGGAATTAAAATGAGGTATCAATGACAAGGAAAAATAACTATGAGTTTCTCATTACTGGTTTTGGAGAAGATGAGAAAAAGGCATAAAGGAAACCTCTTAAGTCAGAATGACAACAAGGATAGTTTGTTAGTTTGAGAAAATAAGGAAGTCCAGAGAGAAAGAAAAATCTTGAGCATGAGGTGAGGGTACACATACACGTCACTGAGATGCAGGACAGATTATTTTTAGGTTAATTTTAGGGTCATCTTTCAACAAAAGTGATAGTAGGTGAGAAAGGAACTAAAATGTAAGATAATTTGTTATCAAATTTAGGAATTACTGGCTAGATATTATTCCCATGAAAATTCATAAGACCCTTTGGATCACTAAAAGAGGTCATTTTGCAAAGATTTCTGAAGCCATTAGTTTGAATTCAAAGTCATTGATTTTATTTCTATTCAACAACTTTCATCTTAGACGCAAAGGGGTGGGGGGCAGTTCCAGATTACTGCATTATTTATACTCTGACAAGCCAGACACTCTTTCTTCTCGGTGCAATGATTTTCACGACAAAATGAACTCCAAATCACCAGTTATTTTAACATGGCAAACAAGTTTGAGAAAAAAGTTTATTGTAAAAACAAAACGAAACAAAGAAACGAGAGAGACTCTAATTTTCAAAATTGATTAAACTAGATTTTTCTCATTGTTGCCATAGTTTATGCAAACTGATTATTAATGACTTGAAAAAATAACTGTAAAATTATTTTAGTTAATTTTTCCTTCTTTCTCTTCATTTTCTATTTGGAAATATTTAAGTTGTTGCCCTTCAGAAGCATTTTAATATTGTAAGTTACAAGTTACCATATATTTTTTGAGATTGCAACGTTGTATACTTAATTAAGAATACAATTTCATTTCAAAAACTAATCACTAAGCTAGGAATGAGTAAATGAAGAACAGAGGCAACTCAATCTCCAATATGTCTTAAAGGAAATGGGAATATTTTTTACTGTAAAGATGATTACCTAATTATCTTACTAACTGTGTAGGAGCGGAGTTTTTTGTTTGTTTATTTTGTTGGTTTTTTGTTTGTTTGGTTTTTGAGATGGAGTCTTTCTCTGTCACCCAGGCTGGAGTGCAATGGCATAGTCATGTCTCACTGCAACCTTGCTCTCCCAGGTTCAAGAGATTCTTCCACCTCAGCCTCCCAAGTAGCTGGGACTACAGGTACGTGCCACCACGCCCCGCTGATTTTTGTATTTTAGTAGAGATGGGGGTTTCACCATGTTGGCCAGGCTGGTCTTAAAGTCCTGATCTCAAGTGATCTGCCTGCCTTGGCCTCCCAAAGTGCTAGGATTACAAATGTGAGCCACTGAGCCGTTTTTAAATCATAACTTGGAGACCCTTTTATAACAGTTTGATAGGTAAAGGCAATCCTCTATCTAGCCTACACATTAATTTTACATAAATTAGTGAGGAGAATGCCTGCACCTTTAAGACTTTTGGATGACTAATTTGATGAATAATGTTTCCTAAATTTGTGAAGTACACAGCCTGCACAAATTGTATGCAGTGGCCATAGGCACATCGCTGAAATTCACACAGAGGTAATTGTGATGGTTAATGTTATGTACTGATTCGACTGGGCTACAGGGTGCCCAGATATTTGATTAAAAACCCCCATGTTTCAGGGATAAGGTTAACATTTGAATCAGTAGACTGGGTAAGACAGATTGTCCTCTCCAGTGTGGATGGGCTCCTCCAATCCACCAAAGGCCTGGATGGAAGAAAAGGCTGAGCAGGAAAGAACTCACTCTCCCTGCCTGACAGTCTTCGAGCTGGGACATCAGAGATCACTTGACTTTGGACTCAGACTGGAACTTTCACTGTCAACTCTCCTAGTTCTTAGGCCTTTGGATTGCAGATCTTGGGATAAATCAGCCTCCACAACTGCATGAACAAGTACCTAATAATAAATAAATTAATAACGCATTGATTCTGTTTCTCTGAAGAACCCTGATTAACATGCTAATATATTAGATCATGCTTTTAAAAAAACACATTTTAGAAAATGTGGCATTGAGTCCATGCATTTATAAACCATAATATAATGGGGATTTTCTATGTAATCAAATATTATTAATATCTAGATGAGAAGGGAAATTCTAAAGAAATTAGTAAAGTTTATGTGGAAAGGTTTGTATCAATTAAGAAACACAAAAATTGGATTCTGATTATTAGTCTTTCTAATTGTCAAAGTACAGTATGATATAGAAGCATGAACTTTCAATCTTATTATCTTCAAAAATTGAGAGCATTATATTGAAGAAGTTTAAAAAATCTTGTCTAGTATAGACTTAAAATCTCAGACACATAATGCAGACACAGGTGTATCTAAAAACAACGTGTATCACTGTGTATTTAAATTTTAATTTTCTTTTAAATTTTTCATTAGTTATTAAAATTTTCAACCAAATTACTGAGTTCTAACAATTTTGCCTTTTGTGTGACAATATCTAAGAGACTGATTTTCTTTTCCTTTCTTAATATAATAATTTTAATTAAAGTAAGCACTATAAGGGAGCCTGATTTCTTAAGGTCAGTGTGAAACAGCCACAACAATAAACAAACAGATATTGTGGCTACTTAGAGATTTTATGATTTTCCCTGTTTTAAAAAAATTGTGCAGGGAATTTGCAAGGCCCCTAAATACTTCTGAATATGTCATGGATTTCAAGAGTAAAGCAAGTTTCCGGAAACTTACTTTGCTTGTGGCAGAAGAAATCAGAATTAATTCCCCCACATCATATAGTCCCAAGGAGAATTGCATTCCCTTGGCTACATGAATTAGTATTTCCTAAGTGTGGATCACAGAACTGAGCCCAAGGTAATTTACACCTAATGTATGTTGAATATTAACATAGATACATCTTTTAAGTGATTTTAAGGTTCTCGCATGTAATAAAAATGTAAAATGATCAATCGTAATTTTATGTATGCCTTAAAACATTTTTTGTTTGTTTTGGGTTTTCATTTTTGGCTTTTGTGGTTTTTGTTTTGTTTTTATTATTTTGTCCTTAGGTAGACATTGTTGAAGGATACCTCAAAGTACCCAGAAGGACAGGAGGAATTGCAGAACCTCAGGCTGGAGGGTATCCCTCAAAACGAGCAAGACACAGGTGAGCCAGAAGGTGGAACTGGATAAAACTTATAAATAAGATCTGTGGGTTTCTCAGAGGTTGAAATTTAATAAAAGATAGTATAATAGAGCAGTTCAGAATACAAACTTAGAAGGGAATGCTTTTACACTGTTGGTGGGAAGGAACCTTGGTACAACCTTTATTGAAAACAGTATGGGATTTCTCAAAGAACTGAAAATAGAACTACTATCCCACCCAGCAATCCCACTACAGGATAGCTACCCAAAGGGAAAAAATATCATTATATCAAAAAAAATCTGCACTTGTATGTTTACCACAGCACTATTCACAATAGCAAAGATATGGAATCAACCTAAGTGTCCATCAATGGAGGGTTAAAGAAAATGTGGTATAATTATACCATGGAATACTACTTAATCATAAAAAAGAAAGAAATCACCTCTTCTGCAGCAACATGGAAGAAATTGGAGGCCATTACCCAAAGCGAAATAACACAGAAATAGAAAGTCAAATACATGTTCCCACTTATAAGTGGGAGCTAAACAATGAGTACATATGGACAGGCAGAGTGGAACACTAGACACTGGAGACTACTAAGGGGAGGAAGGTGGGAGGGTGGGAGAAGGGTGAGGGTGGAAAAATTACCTATTGGGTACGATGTTCGGTATTCCGGTGGCAGTTACCCTAAAAGCCCAGACTTCACCACTATGCAATACATGCATGTAAGAAATCTGCACTGGGGCGGGCACGGTGGCTCACGTCTGTAATCCCAGCACTTTAGGAGGCCCAGGCAGGTGGATTACCTGAGATCAGGAGTTTGAGACTAGCCTGACCAACATGGTGAAATCCCATCTCTACTAAAAACAACAACAACAACAACAACAACAACAACAACAAAATTAGCCAGGTGTGGTGGTGGGAGTCTGTAATCCCAGCTACTAAGGAGGCTGAGGCAGGAGGATCACTTGAACCCAGGAGGCAGAGGCTGCAGTGAGCTGAGAGTGCACCACTGCACTCCAGCCTCGGCGACAGAGCAAGACTCCATCTCAAAAAATAAAAAGAAATAAAATAAAAAGAAATCTGCACTTGTACCCCCAAATCTATAAATCTATTTTTAAAATTTTTATAAAGAACACAGAGTCAGACATGTAAAATTCCAGTTTCAGCCACCTACAAATCATGTACTCTGGGTACTTTACTTATATTTTTAAGCCTCCATTTATTTATCTGTAAAGTGAATATAGTTGAGCAACAGAGACACGTAAGCTTCTATACCACTGGTAGAACCCCAGTCTGGAGCATGTTGCCAGCTCACAGGAAGCCAGGCCCCATTCACAAAATATGCCAAAGGGGCAGAATTTGTGTCATTTTATGGACTGGAGATTATTATTCTTGTGGACAACTTTCTACAGCTCTGACTTTCCTCCATCTCAGCTAGCAAAGGTGCCCTGTGATTTTCAGTGCCACTGACGTCCTTTTGTCATGAATGTAAGGAGAAAGAAGGAGCTGCATTGTGGAGTGCACTGGATTTTTTGAGAAAATTTGCTAATCACTAAGGATAATATTGCTGTGATGCATAGTGCCTTTATTCATTGTGGGTTTAACTTAATCCATGAACATTGTACATTTCATCATCATTTTTTCAGTTTGTTCCTATTGTTGTACTGGAGTTGGTGTATGTGAAGACAGCATTATCAAAAAAGAGAAAAGCTTATATCACTTCCTTACTTCTTTAATATCCTCTTCATTTTGGGATGACTTATTTTCCCTCCGTACCTTTTGCTAAAATCACGTTTAGTTGAAAGTGAGAAAGCAAAGACTATTCTTTGTTTTTCCTTTCTGGTGTCAAAAGCAAAAATTAAAATCAAGGAAGACACCAATACCATTAAACGTCTGTTATTTAACTCATTAAAATTGTTTGTGTCAATTGAATATTCAAAAATTATTTTCTATTTATGACTTTTATCATTTTTTATCTTTCTAGAACTAAATAGTTACACTAACCTATAAATATAAACACGAAAAGTTAACTCAGCTAACTCTCTCCTCCAAAATCTTTTTTAAGTACTAAAATTCACTCAACAGAAGACAATGATAAGAAATTCACTTATGTAAGACAATTAAGGTTATTTATCCTACACTACAGTAAACCTGTTGATAGCTCTCTAAGGTTTGTAGCATCTTAAACTTCAATGTACACAATGAGAACTTTTAATTTCTTTCCATTCTTTGGTATGAATTTAATGTTCATTTAGCTGTGAAACACGTGCACCTTGTGTGTTGAAATCCACTTCATCTCTTATAGCAAGCTTGTCCAACCGGCCCATTGGCCACATGTAGCCCAAGATGGCTTTGAATGTAGCTCAAAACAAATTCATAAACTTTCTCAAAAAATTATGAGGGGTTTTTTTGCGATTTTTTAAAGCTCATCAGCTATGGTTAGTGTTAGTGTATTTTATGTGTGGCCCAAGACAATTATTTTTCCAAAGTCGCCCAGGGAAGCCCAAAGATTGGACACCCCTCTCTTAGAGAGTTTTTCTCTTTCTCACTAAGCAGTGTGCATTCTAACTACAGAGGCTCTTTTAAATATTTAGTTCCAGTTACTTAAGATTAATTTAAATATTCTGGAACAGTTTCCCTCAAATGAAGACGTTTTCTATTATGCACACAAACCTACCTCAGAGCAGAAGTTACAAAATCAAACGCTACAGGAACAAACGTTTTGCTCATATAGCCCCTAAAGTAATTTCGGAAAAACTATGCATCCCTCACGTATTTTTAAGTCATCTAAAATTTTTCATTATGCGTTTAAATAATTGCAATGCATTTGTTTTTCAGCATATTGTAAATAAAACTTTTTTTTTTTTTGAGACGGAGTCTTGCTCTGTCGCCCAGGCTGGAGTGCAGTGGCACGATCTCGGCTCACTGCAAGCTCCGCCTCCGAGGTTCACGCCATTCTCCTGCCTCAGCCTCCGGAGTAGCTGGAACTACAGGCGCCCGCCACCACGCCCACCTAATTTTTTGTATTTTTAGTAGAGACGGGGTTTCATCGTTTTAGCCAGGATGGTCTCAATCTCCTGACCTCGTGATCTGCCTGCCTCGGCCTCCCGAAGTGCTGGGATTACAGGCGTGAGCCACCGCGCCTGGCCATAAATAAAACATTTTTAACAAAGCAGTTAAATCATGGTTTTAAATTTATCAAGTGGAAGCTAAACACTTTAATGATGTTATTTACCATCACCATTACAAAGAAAAGCTCATCTTTAACATTTAGAAATTTTATACATTTTCTTCTTTTCCTTTAAGTTGTATTTCCATTCGTTTTCTCCATTGAACTTTATTTGTATGTAGTGTATTATGCTTGAAAATTAAAAATCACAAAGTATTTTAATGATTATGCATCAGGCTTTTCTATAACTAATACATGTATATAAATTTTAATATATTCTATATTTTATAAACAATTGATTAAAACAACATAAATACAATACAAATCACAATGAACATAAAACGAAATTTTACTGTGAATGCATCTCTTGCATGACTTAGATGGGATTAGGTTTCCTTTTTTCAATTATTCCATATTTCATCTGGCCAGACTGATAAAGGGGTCAGTATCAATTCCGTTGCAATTTTTCATTTTAATTAATGTAATCTCTGAGAAACCTTATATAAACAAGTTTTGTTATTGTAGTGTCACTAAATTTTTAAAAAGTTTATGAGCTCTCTGTCAAAATCACATAACCATCTATCCTTAAAAGTTACTTTTTTATATGCTATCAGCTGTCTACTTTATTAAGTTCTCTTCCAAACTTGTTGAAAGCAAAGAATTGGAAACCACCTAAAGCGTAAAAGAATTTTGTGAGCCGGGCGCGGTGACTCACGCCTGTAATCCCAGCACTTTGGGAGGCCGAGGCAAGCCAATCACACGGTGGAGACCAGCCTGGCCAACATGGCGAAACCCCGTCTCTACTGAAAATACAAAAATTAGCTGGGTGTGGTGGCGGGCGCCTGTAATTCCAGCTATTAGAGAGGCTGCAGCAGGGGAATCAATTGAATCCAGGAGGCGGAGATTGCAGAGAGCCCAGATCTCGCCGTGCCACTGCACTCCAGCGTGGGCGACAGAGAGAGACTCCGTCTCAAAAAAAAAAATAGAATTTTGTTTGTGTCCTATCATTCCCTTACTCAATTTCTAGGAACGAAATAAAAAAGTCTTTGCCAACACTTATCAAATGATTATTAAATAGTTCTGTCGTTCTTTCACCTGGAAATATTTAGTTTAGCCCAAAAGACTCAAAAGAGTTGAGAAAATAAAAATATTGTTAATTTTGCAAATATAATGTTAATTGCACATATAATGTTTTAAGTAAAAGTTTTATATTATTATACTTTTAAAATATATTTTCATCGCAACTTGGACCTGCGGATTTAGCTTACATGATTTACAGAAAATAAGTATCATATCTAATTGATAGAACCATCCTCACTGTCAAATTAATCAACAAAATTAGACTTATATTCTTACAAAAACAAAAAGTCAGAACACCATTTTCAATTCAAATATATATAATAGGAGTTTCAGGGAATTATATAAATAAAAAACACTGACCAAGACGGACACTTAATTTGTAATAATGCAATCCAAGGTGTGTAGCTAACATTTTAAGTTATATATAGACTGAGAAGGATAATACACAGTGTAGTGGTCCTCTGGTGTGCAGATTTGAGGAACAATTAAAAATAATAATTGAGTATCAAAGTTATAGCTAAAGCCATTAATTTCATCGGACTTTATAATAATTTTGTTCCTGTTTATTTATAAAAGAGAAAGGTATATATTGCTAAATCATACCTGGATAGCAATCTGAAATAAGAAGAAAATTAAGATTGACTAAAGATAACTCTTTACGATTAAATTTTAAAAACTAAATAAATAAGTAGGTTTTTATTAGTTCAGTGTCTCTTATAAATACTCTTTAGTTGTATGAATAGAGAGACTTTCCCTCAATAGAATCATATATTTGTTCAAAATAAGTTTAATTAGTTAGCAAATGAGTAAAATAAACATTGTTCTCATAACCTTATTAAAGAATTTATCTGAATTTAAAGCATCAAATAGGGACCTCCTTTCTTACGCCTGGCTTCTCCAAGAACCCAAAAATGGAATACAGGAAGGACAAGCAGCTCCCGAGTTCTGTGGTGCTCTGATTAATCATTACAAGAGGCTTGTATAAAATAAATTGTATGCCCCAAAGCCCTACTCCACAGATAGATTTGGGATGGAAGAGGACACATCTTGTTTTCCATAGTGGAAGAAGGGTTATCATGAACTCAGGCAGGATCTCAGTCAGACTAATTTAGGAAAGAATACCAGAACTTGATAATCCAAAAACAGATTTCCTTAAAACCATTCAACCTGATTATTATTCTCACATACTCTCAGTCTCAAGGCACCTGGTATAAATGATGACTGGAGCCAGTTGTAAGTGAAGATGCATGCACTGCAAGAGGGGTGGGGCCAGTGGTGAACCAGAGGGTGCCAAGGGCCAGGTCTAAAAGGCTGCATTGGGAATAGAGAAAGTGTTGGCTTATCTTCAGATTTTAAGAAAATCTAGAAATCTCAATTTTTATTTCAAATAATCTAACTTTAAACTGTTGACTCAAAAACTTTGAAAAAAATTCTATGCACACCCAACAGAACACTTACTGCTACTTTTTGCTTTCTGCCATTGATAGTTTTCTTGTTGTTGCTCTTATTGTTGTTTTCGGCTTAAAATAAACACATTTTATTTCAAAGTATAAAAATATAAAGATGATAACTGTATAAGAATTTTATGTCATTTCTTATATATAAATATTACAGATGTTCAAGGTCAACTATAAATGAAATTAATGAAATTCAGAATAAATCTTGGTAGCTGTCATCTAGAAAATTCATTCATTCAGCAGTCATTGCTGAGTATCTTATTTGCAGGGACATACTAGGCACCCTCAAAATTCAAATTAAAAAATACATGAATCTTTAACACAGAAGATAAAGCTTAAAAATAAATAGCAATAAAGTTGATATGCCTTATGAATTAGAAAGGCATTTTTGAAATGCCTTTCTAATTAGAAAGGCTTATTTTGAAAGCAGGAATATGGACTCAAAGAGAAATATATGATTATTCCAACTAGAGTGTAGTATTCATTAATAGTTTCTTTTTTAAAAAGTATCTTCTGCTTTAAAAAATTGATGTATTTGAATCTCTAACAGTGTTAGATTATGAGTACTAAATATTTCTGCACAATATTTAGACAAAGAAAGCCAACAGAAAGAGAAAACAACTGCTACCAGTCTTGAAAACACCAGCGTTTTTCTGACATATATTGTATAAGTTATGGAAATAAACTTTTTATATCCAATAGAAATTTGACATATCCTATACTCTAAAATATGAATACTATTGTATAAGTGTACCCTTTCATAAAAATCATGCTAATAAAAGACAATGGCAGGATATATAAAATTTCCATTGCCTTTCAAGTTGCAGGCATTCGAAAATATTAAGTAACAGCAAACTGAGGGAAAGGGAAATAATCTTGAGCTCCCAATTCTGCAAGGAGAAACAAAAAAAAAGTTGACAGCTTTTATCCTTTTATTTATCCAGGCTGTATACAGCAGTGCTGAGGAGCACAGGGTTGATCATCAGACAGACTTTGCTAATCAGCCTGGGTTTTAATCTAGGCTCTAATTCTTAACAGTGGAGCCAGCTTTTCAAAGGGTTAGGTTTCAAAGTCAGTGAATAAGATGAAAATAAGGTATGCAAATTAAGCCACATTGGAAAACAACTCACTATCTCTTAATAAATCATAATTTCCAATTTTTTTCCTGCTTTGTTTCTTCCATTGAGTACCAGATAAGCTAGTTAGTGTATGTTTAAAAAATAAATAAACTCTAGTTTTTCACTCAGTGTTGACAGTGGAAAGGCGAGTGAAATCACCTGTATTATTTAATTTGTCATTTTGCTTTATCACATCTTCCTCCTTACAAGTATTACTGAATTCATGTGAGATTACTGACTATGCACATGTAATCCCACATCATGGTAAAGCCAGACAAGCTTCCTTAACAGTAAAATAATGAAAGTAACAACTCTTTCACCGAGATATTGAGAGGATTAAATGAGACAATATACATAAAATACTTAAGAGTGTGCCTGTCACATAGTAGTCACTTAATAAATTATAGTTATCATTAATTTAGTTCAGCACATAATTTTTCTTACAAATAAATATTAATGATAACAACAAGGTATTACCCTTCAAGTTTGAAGGAAGGGTCAAAGATCTGCTCCTGCTCCGAAACATGCACAAGGCTATTTTCATAAGGGGAATGATACCATCAGGGTTATGTTTTAGAAGGATGAACTGATACAGCCTCTGTTTGCCTCTCCAAATCCACTCTATGTCTTTTCCACCCTGCTTTGTGCCCGGGAAGGCTGACCTTTGTGGACTCCATCAACTGGTCTCCCTGGCTTCCAGTTTTGGTTTGTCCAATGAAGGACAATGGCAGGAGACTGAAGAGTGAGAGGAAGGTGAAGTCAGTGTTTGTTCCCCATTTCCCTCCAGGCAATGGTTCAGCAATGGCTGTGCTGAACCATGGTCTCTATCAAAGCCTACAGCTCTTGTCACCTGGCCTCCTATAGCTAGAACTTTCTCTTTTCTACTTGTGGTAGGTGCTTGGTACCCTGCCCTCAGGTAACTGCTTCCCTTCGTTGCATGAAGATTGATTGTAAAAGAAGACTGGAAGTAGAGAGAATGGTTACAAAGTACTTGTAGGTAGGAAATAATTAAGAGCTGACCAAAGTAGTGGATGATGAATCAGAGAAAACAAGACAGAAATAAGATACATTTCGAAAATATCTAATATAGGAGAGAAAAGCAACTATAACTAATTGGGTGAAAGAGCAAGGGATAAAATAAGTCTAAGAGGATGTCCACGTATTTTACTTCAGCAAATGAATAAAGACTGATACCATTCGCAGAGACAGCAAAGTAACATCATCTGATTTGCTCCCCCAACAACTCCTGGTTTCTATTATCACACTTTTCAAAATTGATCATTTGCTTCTTTGAGATACCTTTTGTATTTATCCAGTATTTGCTGGACAGCATAATTATATGAGATTTATCTGCATTGAGGCATGTATTCCTTTTTAGTGCTGAGTAGTATTTTATTGTGTAAACCACAGTTGTTTATACATTCACTGGTTGATGGACATTGGAGTTGTTTCCTGGCTTTCACTGTTACAAATAAGACTACTATGAACACTAATGCACAAGTCATTGAGGCTTGCATTTTTCTTACAGAAATATCTAGAATTTAAATGGCTTGGTTATATACAGGTATATCTATAACTGTTTAAGAAATTGCCAAAATGGTTTTCCAAAGTGGTTTCACCATTTTACATCCCATAAGCAATGTGTAAGGTTTACAGTTTCTCCATCTTTTTACCAACACTTGATAAGGTCATTCCTTTTAATTTTAGGTATTGTAATGGGTTTGCAGAAATAGTACATTGTATATTTATGTTGTATTTTCCTAACGAATAATGATGTTGAGCATCTAGTTATGTGCTTATCTGTTCATGTCATTTGCCCACTTTTTCATGGGATCGCGTTTTTTCTTGTTGAGTTGTTTGAGTTTCTTGTCAACCTTGGATATAAGTCCTTTGTTCAATGCACAGTTTGAAAATATTTTCTCCCATTCTGTAGGTTGTCTGTTTACTCTGTTGATTATCTCTTTTGCTCTGCAGAAGCCTTTTAGTTTAGTTCACTCCCACTTATCTATTTTTGGTTTTGTTGCATTTGCTTTTGAGGTCTTAGTCTTAAATTTTTTGCTTAGTCCAATGTCTTAAGAGTTTTTCTTAGGATTTCTTTCAGGGTTTTTGTATTTTCATGTCTTACATTTAAGGCTTTAATCCATCTTGAGTTAATTTTTGTATATGGTGAGAAATATGGATCCAGTTTTTTTTCTTCCGCATATGCCAATTTTCACCGGGTGTCCTTTCCCCATTGTGTTTTTTTTTTTTTTTTTTGGCTTTATCAAAGATCATTTTATTGTAGGTTCTCTATTTTGTTCCACTTATCTATATGTCTACTTTTGTGTCAGTGCTATGCTGTTTTGGTTACAATAGTCTTGTAGCATAATTTGAAATCAGGTAATGTGATGCCTCCACCTTTGTTATTTTTGCTTAGGATTGTTTGGACTATCTGGGCTCTTTTTTGGTTCCATACGAATTTTAGGATTATTTTTTCTAATTCTGTGGCAAGTGATATTGGTAATTAGATAGGAATTGCACTGAGTCTTACATTGCTTTAGAATATGTGACCATTTTAATGACATTGATTCTTTCAATCCATGAGCATGAGATGTTTTTCCATTTGTGTTATCTACTATTTCTTTTATTGGTGTTCTGTAATTCTCCTTGTAGAGATCTTTTACCTCTTTGGTTAGCTGTACTCCAAAGTATTTTATTTAATTTTTTGTGGTTACTATAAATGAGACTGAGTTCTTGATTTGCTTCTGAGATTGAACGTTATTGATGTGTAGAAATGCTACTGATTTTTGTACATTAAGTTTGTAACCTGAAACTTGACTGAAGTCATTTATCAAGTCTAGGAGTCATTTGGAGGGGTGTTTAGTGTTTTCCAGGTATAAGATCATGTCATCAGTGAACAGAGATAATTTGACTTCCTCTTTTCCAATTTGGATGTTTTTTGTTTGGTTTTTGTTTTTGTTTTTGTTTTATTTCTTTCCCTTGCCTGGTTGCTCTGGTTAGGATTTCCAGTACGATGTTGAATATTATTTGAATCTTCTCTCTTTTTTCTTGGTTAGTAGAGCTAGCAGTCTATTGATTTTCTTTATCTTTTCAAAGAAACAACTTTTTATTTCATTGATCCTTTGTATTTTTTTGTCTCAATCTCAGTCCTGCTCCGATCTTTTTTATTTCTTTTCTTCTTTGTCTAGCTCCTTGAAGTATGACATTAGGTTGTTAACTTAATTTTTTTCTATCTTTTTTATGTAGATATTTTGCTATAAACTTTCCTCTTAGCACTGTTTTTGCTATATCTTAGAGGTTTTGCTATGTTGTGTCTCTATTTTTATTCGTTTCAAAAATTTTTTTGATTTCTGCTTTAATTTCATCATTTACCTGAAGATCATTCAGGAGCAAGTTGTTTGGTCTCCAAGTGTTTCTATAGCTTTCAGAGTTTCTGGTGGTATTGATTTCTAATTTTATTCCACTGTAGTCTGAAAAGATATGCAACGTGATTTCAGGTTTTTAAAAAACTTATTGAGATTTTCTTTATGGCCAAGCATATGGTTTATTTTCAAGAATGTTCCATGCCCAGATGAGAAAAATGTTTACTCTACAATTGTTTTGTGGAATATTCTGTAAATGTCTATTAGGTCCTTTTGGTCTGGCAACCAGTTTAAGTCCAGAGTTTCTTTGTGGATTTTCTGCCTTAGTGATCTGCCTAGTGCTCTCAGTGGTGTTTTGAAGACTTCAGTATTATTGAACTGCTCTCTGTCTCTTTACTTAGGTCTAGGAGGATTTGTTTCATGAAGCTGGGTGGACTGCTGTTGGGTACATATAAATTTATAATGGTTATATCTTCATGTTGAATTGAACCCTTTAACATTATATAATAATCTTATCTTTTTAACTTTCATTGATTTAAGGTCTGTTCAATGTGATATAAGTATAGCTACTCCTGCTTGTTTTTGTCTTATGTTTGTCTGGTATATCTTTTTCACCCCTTTATTTTGAGTCTGTGTGTGTATTTATCTGTTAGGTGGGTCTCTTGTCGGCAGCAAATGGTTGAATCTTGTTGTGTTTTGTTCTATCCAATTTTCCAGTCTATACCTATTAACTGGAGCATTTAGGCCATTTACGTTCAAGGCTAATATTGATATGTGAGGTTTTGTTCCTGTCATAATGTTGTTACCTAGTTGCTTTGTAATCTTGATTGTGTAATTTCTTTGTAGGGTGTGACCTTTGTACTTATGTGTGCTTTTATAATCCTGAGTACATCCTTTCCCTTCATTTTTATGTTTAGAATTCATTTGAGCATTTCTTGGAGAGCCAGTGTACTGGTAATAAATTCCATTAGCATTTGCTTATCTGAGAAAGATTTCATTTCTCCCTCATTGATGAAGCTTAGTTTAGCAGGATATGAAATTCTTGGCTGGCATTGTTTTCTTCAAAGAGGCTGACAATAGGACCCCAGTCCTTTCTGGCTTTTAAGGTTTCTGCTGAGAAGTCAACTGTTAGTCTAATGGGATTTCCTTTATAGGTGCTTTGATGCTTCTCTCCAGCTGCTTTTAGGATGTATTCCTTCATGTCAATTTTGGATAGCCTCACGAACATATGCTTTGATGAGCCTTGTCTTGCAGAGATTATTCCAAATGTTCTTTGAAGTTCCCGTATCTGGATATCTAATTATTTATCTAGAACTGGGAAGTTTTCTTGATCATTTTGTCAAATACATCTTCCAAATTTTCTATTTTTTACTTCTTCTCCCTAGGAATGCTTATAAGTTATAGTTTTGGTCACTTTACATAATCCCATATTTCTTGAAGGCTTTTTCATTTTTAAAATTCATTTCTCTTTATTTTTGTCTGACGGGGTTAATTCAAATAATGGGTCTTCAAACTCTAAAATTCTTTCCTACACGTGGTCTACTCTGTTGTTAAATTTTCTACTATATTTTATAATTCTTCCAATAAATTTTTCTTTTCCATAAGTCCTGTTTTTTTATGTATCTATCTCTTTAGCAAATTTTTCATTCCTATCCTGTTTTCACAATTTCTTTGTTTTGATTTTCAACTTTGTCTTGGATATCATTGAGCTTCTTTATGATCTGTATTTTGAATTATTTATCTGTCATTTCAGAGTTTTCATTTTGCTTATGATCCATTGCTAGAGATCTAGTGTGATTCTTTGGGGCGTCTAAACACTCTGTCTTTTTTTTTAATTTTAGATTCAGGGATACATGTGCTTGTTTGTTACATGGATAGTACATGCTTAATAGTGGAGATTGAGCTTCTAGTGCACCCATCACCCAAATATTAAACATGTATCCAAGAGGTAATTTTTCAACCCTAACTCCTCTCTCACCCTCTCTCCTTTCAAAGTTCACAGGACACACTGTCTTTTTGTACTGCTAGAGTTTTTACAATGATTCCTTCTTATTTGAAGAAGCTGTCACTTCTTATATTTGAATTTGCTTTCATTTGGATTGGATTTTTAAATTTGTATTATCCTCTCCCTTGAGGTTATAACTGTAATGTATGTTGTGTGTCATCATTTGGCTTCAAGACTGGGCACTTTCAGGGGACCAAGACTCCCTATGAGTTCCTTGGTTGTAGATGACTTTTGCATAAGTGGTTTTCTCAAATTCTGGTTGTTGTAACAATGTATGGAGTGTATAAGCCAACTAACTGTCTTCCACAGGGCTGCAGATGTCTCAGCAAGCTTATCTAGTTCCTTAGCACTATGCCCTTGTGTCAGTAGGTTTTTCTTTTGGTTGTGCATTTCAGTCTCCAGCCCAGTACGTGGCACTTACAAGTAAGAGCTGACTCTTCCTCGGATACCCCAATAATGAATGAAATCACTTGTCTTGACAGGGATTGGGGGGATACCTCCTGGTGGGATGCTCTGACATCTTTGTAGGGGGTGTGCAAGAGGGGGCTGCATCAGTTTCTCATCCTGCCAGGAAGAAACATGATCCACTTCCCTATCAGACCCCATCCCAGGGCTTACAACCTTCAGTTCACATAAGTACTGTCTTTTACTTCCAGGCCACAGTGCAACTGAGGTCTGTGAAAAATGCGTATCCCACAACTACCACTGAAATGGCTTCAGGGTGGAACCTCTTTCCTCAGCCCAAAACAGACAGCCCTCAGCTGGTCTACATGCCACTGCAGGAACACTGCCACTCTGCATAGAAAGGGAGAGATGAATCCTTCCCTTTGTGCAAGCCTGGGCCAGTGGGCTCACTTTCAGTGGGGGTACATCACCCTGCATGGCACTGGAAGGACTTTCTCCAAGTCCACCCATGCCAGCTCCCAGTAGGAGAGGTCACAGTTGTGTCCATAACAGTGGACAGGGGGAGCAGGAGAAGACTTCCTCTCCATGTTAATTCCTGGCCAATGGTGCTGCTTGCTGCTGAGGCAGAACAAACCTTCTCGGCTTCAGAGACTAGCACCACACCCATGTCTCCATTGGGAGGGGTCCAGTCACTGTCTGGTCACAAGCAGGAGGGCTCTCATGCAGGGAAAAGCAGACAATCTGGTTTCCTTTGTTTCAAGAGGTCTTTTAGTGGACTGCAATTCCCCTTCCTCTAGGAGAAGCCCATGCTGAGAGCTAGATCTCCGGGGATTCCACAGCTCCCCAGGGTGCTGCCAGTCCCTTGTGGCTGCCACAGAGTGGGTTCTGAGAAGTGTTTGTGGGGGATCTAGTGATGCAGAGAAACATAAGCTGAGATTTCCTTGGCAGGATAGTGGTCCACAATGTTTGCACAGCAATATGGCACTGGTCACCTCACCTTGCATTTGAAGGAAGAGCCAGCAAACTTGTGCAAGATGGCTGCCCTGTGATCTGCTTTCCAGAAGTTCACAAACTGCCACTCACAGCAGTGCCTCTCAGGGACAGAGGGGTTCTCTGACAATTCAGCAGTCAGCAGTTTACCGCTGGGATGTGGGAATAAACATACACCCCCATCTACCCTTTCCATGGGACTCCAATTTCCTCAGGGATTAATCTTTGCCAGACTCTTGCTGCTTTGCTTTTCTGCACCTCAGCTTCTTCCTGTGAGTTCTCTGACGGGTTCCAACTCCTTTCCCTCAGCACTCCACTCAGGCCATGATCATTCTCCCGTAACTTTAGACCTTCTTTCTGACAACTGGTATACAACGTCTCTAGTAAGCCACGGTTTAGGAGACCGGAAAGTCCAATTTCCAAGCAGATTCAGTGTCTGGTGAGGGCCGTCTTCCTGGCTCATAAAAGATGTCTTCTACCTGTGTCCTCATATTGTACAGAGCCATATGCCCTCTTTAGTGAAGTGTCTGTTCAAATCTCTTGCCCATAAAATCGGGGCTTTTTTGCTTGTTTTCCAACTGAATTTTGAGAATTCATTAAATATTCTGGATCCATATCTTTATTAGACATACGATTTGCAGATATTTTCTTCCAGTTTGAGGCTTATCTTTTCATTCTTTTACCATGTTTTTGGAAGCGGAGAAGATCTTAATCTTGGTGAAGTCCGATTTATCACATTTTTGTTTTATGAATCGTGCTTTCATATCACAGCTAAAAACTCTCTCCGTCAAGAGTACGATAATTTCCTCCTGTGCTTCCTTCTAAAAGTTTTATAGTTTTAGAACTTATATTTAAGTCAATGATAAATTTTGAGTTAAATTTTGAAATTGTATGAGGTAAGATTATACTTAACTTTCTTATTTTTTACCTATGGAATATCCATGTGTTTCAGTATTAATTTTTGAAAAGACTATCCTTTCTAAACTTTTTCAAGAATCAGTTGATAATATGTGTGAGTGTATTTCTGGACGCTATTCTGTATTATGATTCAATTTGTCTATCTTTACTCCAATACTACACTGTCTTGATTACTATCGTTTTTAAGTCTTGAAGACAGGTAATTTCAGCCATCCAACTTTGTTCTTTTTCAAAGAGTTTAGTTCTCTACATTTTCGTATAAATTTAAGAATCAGGTTAACAACTTCTACAAAAAAGCCTCCAGGACTTCAAGTGGGACAATGTTGAATCTATAGAACAATTTAGGGAGAACTGATATATTAATAATACTTGAGTTTTCCAATCCATTAATATGGCATATGTCTTCATTTATTAAATATTTTAGAATAATCTCAATAATGTTTTGTAGTTTTCAGTGTACAGATCTTGCACACCTTTTTCAGGTTTATCCTTAAACATAAACAACTTGTATTGCGATTATGAAAATAATTTTTTTAATTTTAATTTCCAAGTCTCCATTACTAATATATTTTGGGAGACAATTCTCCAAGAATATTTTTACGGTCCAGGCCATCTGAAGAAAGGGTGCTACAAGATGTTTGCATAACTGCCTAAAAAGCTAAAGATAGTGTTTCTTCTCTTCAGTTCTCTTCAATGTTCTGAAAGAGCCTGTGTGTAGATGGCATTTCCTCTCTAAATGTTTTCAAGGATTTACCAGTGAAGCTCTATGGGCCTGGAACTATATTTACAGAAAGGCTGGTAACTAAAAGTTCAATTCTATAGTGAAGGCAGGGCTACTTGTGTATCAATTTATTTTTGAGTGAACTGTGGTAATTTTTACCTTTCTAGGAACTTACTCACTTTATCTGTTTTGTTGAGTCCATTGGCATAAAGTGGCTCATAATATTTCCTTATAACTTTTTTAATAACTTTGAAATATCACGTAAAAGAACGTTATAAACACTCTCATTCCTGAGGTTTTCTCATAGTGTTTTCTCTGTTTTTTTTTTTAACCTTACTTTTTCATGGTCCATTAATTAACTCTCAGCTTTATGTAAAACTATGACTCCACTGCTAAAGTGTACATTGTAATCCTAGGTGGCTTTATCTTCCTCAGCTTGACAAATATTCATTTCTTCTTTCAAAATTTGTTATTATTTAATTATATTGGAAAGGGGTCCCAATGTTTTTAAGCCTTTAAATCCATTAAATAAATGCTAAGTCAGGATTTTTCTTATATGGACACGTAAGTTTTAGAAAGTAATTATATCTCTACATAAACTGTGAACCCTGCTCAAAAAATTAGCAAATGCTTACATGCTGAGAACCTAAATATCAAAATATAAAGAAAATGGAGCCTCTAAAAAATCTTTTATTACTCTGGGTTTTTATAAGCATTCCTTTTTATAAGCAAACTGAATTTGTGTGCACCCAGCACTAGGGTTCATTCTAAGAGAAAATTGAAAAAAATGCCTCATCACCCACTTGCCTCAAGGACACAATTAACTAAAACGAAAATATGTTGATGTTTGCCTAACCATTTTAGTTTTAACCCAATACTTAACATTACATATGCATACAGGGTATTAATAGAATAATTGTGATTTTTCAATCATTAGCATGAAAACAGTAGACTAAAACATAGGCATATTATGTAAATAGAGAAGAAGTAACAAGGAAAAATGTCTTGACTCAAATTTGCAAACTTCTGTAAATTTTTGTGGGCCTAAAGATTGAGAGATTGTTTAGTACTACTACTGAATTTCAGAATAATTTTGCATTATACTGAAACTCTAGACTGCTCTTGATTCTTCTGAAGCTTTTGTTTAGATTTCCAACTCCTACTGTTTCAATAGCTATCTGGAGATTATTCTATTAAGAATCAGATATTGGGAAGTCACATTTGTTTTAAATACATATTTTCTTCTGTATGGTTTTCAGAGTGATTTTCTTCTGTGCCTGGAGGGGAGTGAAAATCCGTCATTTCTCTAACAGGAAGCCAGAGAAATACCCAGCTTAGATATATGGTCATGTGCAGTTTCCTGTTACATTCCAGGAATTGTTCTTGGGTATAAACAGTCATCTTCCAGGGGGCAGGTCATGGCTGCATCTGCCTTGTCTATCACTCTATATTTGTAGAATATATGAAATATCCGGCTAAGAGCTGTTAATTCTGATATAGCACAAAGTCTCCATTTATTGAACGTGTCAAACTTTTGCCAAGCTCAGTTTAGTAAGCACAACTTTTAGGCAAACGGAATGTCATTATTGATTGGATTCCATGCATCGTTTTCCCCAAATAAAGCATCTTTGAGTTGATTGATTTTACCATGTTGAAAAGCATGTTTTAATGGGGAATTTCCACAAAACTGTGTTAAGCTTTCCAGTATCTGCAAACTATAAACAAAATAAATAAGACCTGTCTATAAAAATGTCTACAACATAATCAGAATACAAGAATATTTGATTTGAGAAATATTGAAAAATAAAACACAATCTTCTGAATAATACATGTTATATTAGTTATGAGTTAGGATTTTACTTCATAGAGACATAGAATCCTATACTCAATGACTAGATAGAAATGTGGATAGGAGATGAAGGATTAATCCCCAAGTTGATTAAAGGTATAAACTCTGTTACATAGCCAAACACTTGGCTGTGTAAATGTAAATTAAATAAAGTTATTATCTTAATTCCTCAGACTCACCAGCTACATTTCAAGTGCTTAACAGTCACATATGGTTAGTGGCTATCATATTATACAGTCTAGATATAGAACATTTCCATCATCACAGAAAGTTCTATTGGACAGCAATGGTATTCAGAATATAACACACAAAGAAATATTTTTAAAACTAAGATTGTTGTTCTTAGAAAAAAAGGAATGAGCATATGAAATGAGCATACAATGTGAAAATTTTTAAGCTGTTTCTATATAGTTTCAAAAAATGGTTTCAGTGTCTCACTCAATTTTTTAACTAAATTGATAAGATGCTTTAAATATCATTACATAGTGCAGAAGGGCAAATATAAATGTTCTGAGACATTAAACATATAATTTGGGGGGATACATAAAGAAAAGAATAACAAATTAGTTACTCAGGAGAACAATATTTTCAGAATGAAAAATGAAATCACAATAAACTGCAAAATTTTAAAAAACTGACAACTATCACAAACATCAGACATTCAAAAAATATTTTTATTGACTGTGTAGTGTACCTTTATATGTTCCATATTTTGCCTCATCATATGACAATGGTTCTATGTAACTTTATAGAGAAAAAATAGAGAGATAATTCAATCTGCCTTCTAGGATGGTCAATTGAATTTTTTAAAAATGAAGTTAGGATGCACAAAAATATAACTTCATACAGACATGTGCTTTTTTTAGTACCCATAGGTTTGTGCCCTATAAAAACACATTCTGATCAATTCTCCATTGTATAATTCCCCCAAAAATGAAAAAATATATGATACACTGATCATTGTATATGCTACATTATCAAATATTCCTAATAAGGGAGATTTTCCATTTTGATTAGGTATTGGATTAGGTGTTGATGAGAACCAATTCTCTGCCTATAATTTTACATGTCTGACAAATAGAAAAATCTTCCATAGATCAGCTTCTAGATCTGAACATTTCAACACTCATTTTTTTTGTTATTTAGTTTTTATTCCATAATCATAAATTTAACTTTGCAATCCAGGTAGGCATGGAAGGGAACAAGGAAAACATGGAACCCAAAGGGAACTGCAGAGACAGGGCAAAGATTCTAGGATTCTGCAAGCAAATGGGGTGGAGGACTGTTCTCCTGAGCTACAGAAGGAATGGTCTGGTGGTTAAGATAAAATACAGGTCAAATTTATTTGAGTTGTCCACTGTCAGCAATGGTGACCTTCTTGCTGGTCTTGCCATTCCTGGACCCAAAGTGCTCCAGGGCCTCCACAATATTCATGCCTTCTTTCACCCTGCCAGAGACCACATGCTTGCCATCCAACCACTCAGTCTTGGCAGTGCAGATGACAAACTGGGAACCATTTGTTTTGGGCCCAGCATTTGCCATGGACAAGATGCCAGGACCTGTATGCTTTAGGATGAAGTTCTCGTCATCAAATTTCTCCCCGTAGATGGACTTGCCACAAGTGCCATTATGCATGAGAAGTCACCACCCCGACACATAAACCCTGGATTAATTCTGTGAAAGCAGGGACCCTTATAACCAAATCCTTTCTCTCTAGTGCTCACAGCATGAAAGTTTTCTGCTGTCTTTGGAAACTTGTCCACAAACAGCTCGAAGGAGATGCGGCCCAAGGGCTCGCTGTTGACAGTGAAGTCGAAGAACACAGTGGGGTTGACCATGGCTGATAGTACAGGGCTCACAGCGGCGGTGGCATCTGCAAAGCCTTTAACCCTTATTTGTTCCCACTTCCCATGTAGGTCCAGTGGCAAGTGTCACAGGACAAGCTCATTTGATTTTAAAATGTCTGGTCCTACATCTTTATTTCATGACACTATGTAAGTCACCAGTGGGTACCAAGTAGTAATACTCCTGGAAACAATTCCTGTCATGGGATAACTAGCAACAACTGAACTACACATAGAAGTGAGTCTGTGAACTACAAAAATATGTCCACCACACCAAAATACACGTATTCAACATTAGACTTCCCTTTAGCTGATCCGCAAATGCCCATGACCATTCTCCTGCTATCTAGCACCAAGAGAAAGCATGATAACAGTAAGTATGGATGAGTGACAGTAATCCAACTAAGCACAATTAAAATATCTTAATTTTGCAAATGTTATGAAAATATACGTCCATGCAACACAATGCTGGGATCCCTCCCAAGGCCCTGTAAGGGACCCCTGCAAGTGAGAAGCTGAGAAGCTAGACTCCATTGGTAAATCTAGCTCTGATAAAGGATGCATTCTTTACCAGCACCAAGAACTGAGGAATAGAGTTTGAAATATAAGGATTCCAATTAAATATGAGATAGCTTTCCTGTCAGTGTTGCTGAATGTTGACATTATGACTGAATAGATAAAGACTTACAAGTTCAATATTCTAGAAGCTGCTTACCTTTCAGTTCTTTTGCCCTTGTTTAAAATGCAGAACCTGCTCAACTTCTGATAAGGTTAAATCCTGATAAATCTATCATAAGTTGAACATATCCTAAGTCAAAAATGCATTTAAGGCCGGGCACGGTGGCTTGCGCCTGTAATCCCAGCACTTTGGGAAGCCGAGGCGGGTGGATCACTGAGCTCAGGAGTTCAAGACCAGCCTGGTCAAAATGGTGAAACCCCATCTCTACTAAAAATACAAAAAATTAGCCAGACCTGGTGGAGAGTGCCTGTAATCCCAGCTACTCTGGAGGCTGAGGCAGGAGAATCACTTGAACCTGGGAGGCAGAGGTTGCAGTGAGCCAAGATCGCACCACTGCACTCCAGCCTGGGCAACAGAGTGAGACTCCATCTCAAAAAAAAAAAAAAGTATTTAATACACCTAACCTACCAAACATCATACCTTAGCCCAACCTACCTTAAACGTGCTCAGAACACTTACCTTAGCCTAGAGTTGGACAAAATCATCTTGCAACATGGGGCAACGTAGCATATTGGTTGTTTAACCTTGGGATCCCGTGGCTGATTGACAGCTGTTGTTGCCCAGCATCACAAGAGTATTGCACCACATACTGCTGGCATGGGAAAACATCAATACTCAAAGCACTGTTTCTGTGTAATGCATATCACTTTTGTACCATCTTAAAGTTGAAAAAAATCATAACTTGAACCATAAGTTGGGGACTGTCACACAATAAGTGGTAGCTTCTAAAATTTTCATGATTCAACATCCACATTTCTATAACACAAGGTAATTGGAAAACAAGTCACAATGATATATGTCTACCTTAAATAATTATTTATGCTATCAGAGAAGCATAGCCATTCATGAATGAAGCATATTTTGAAGAGGTTAAAAAGGAAACTAAAGGTAACACTAGGCACTCACTTTATTTATCTTCAATTATTAGTCAGGCTTTATCAAATTCCTGTTCTATCCTTTGCTAAGAACAGAACAGTTTTTCCTCCTCTCTCTGTTGTCAGGTCACAAACAAAAGTCTGCTATTATGTGACTACAAAAACATTTGGTTTTTCCTTTGCTAAAAAAAGATAGGCTACATTTTCTCATTTTATTTGTCTTTCCCGGTTCTATTCATTACAAAAACAAAAACAAAACACAAAACAGCTGCCCCAGAAGGATGTTAGGTAGATACCGAAAACCAGAGATCTCCTCAACAGTCCGTTGTCTCCAGCCTGCTTATACTGGGCAAAAAATAAACACCACAGTCGGGCACGGTGGCTCACGCCTGTCATCCCAGCACTTTGGGAGGTTGAGGTGGGCAGATCACGAGGTCAGGAGTTTGAAAACAGCCTGACCAATATGGTGAAACCACATCTCTACTAAAAATACAAAAATTAGCTGGGCGTAGTGGTATGCACCTGTAATCCCAGCTACTAGGGAGGCTGAGATAGGAGAATCGCTTGAACCCAGGAGGCGGAGGTTGCAGTGAGCCGAGATTGCGCCACTGCACTCCAGCCTGGGCAACAGAGCGAGACTCTGTCTCAGTAAATAAATAAATAAACAAACAAATAAACACCACAGAAAATCAGCAACTGTTTTTGCCCCTATTGAGTTTTCTCTGCAGCAATTGCTAGTCTATATTTATTTCACATACAGAGTATTCTCACTCTAAACTGTATTCCTCCGCCCTAAAATCACGAAATTAATAACATCCTCATTTATTCATTTCTATGGCAACCATCGCACAGTGGAATAGACATATCTACTCCTTGGTAAACTCAACTTGTAAAAGATCATATAGTTTAAACTTTTGTGTGTATATAAAAACAAAATTTTAAACAGATGCATTTGATCGGAGCACATTAAATGTTCTAAAAAGTGACATGAAATTGTTTCTTCACAACTGGAAAAAAATGAGTAGCTAAAACTGAATTTTTACAAAGCGTGATGTGTAAAGTTGGTTTCGAAATCACCAAATATTTTCTCAGTAATCATAAGCATTGCTAATGGAGTCTACAAAAGTAACTAGACTTTTCTATTATAGAAGACTGTAATCTAGTTGTAGAAAAGGACAATAAAGATATTTTAGGTAATAATAGCATTCACCTAATAATAAACACAA
Source organism: Homo sapiens (assembly GCF_000001405.40). Taxonomy (NCBI): domain Eukaryota; kingdom Metazoa; phylum Chordata; class Mammalia; order Primates; family Hominidae; genus Homo; species Homo sapiens. The sequence continues at coordinate 91,275,424 of NC_000013.11, forward strand.
AAATATATAGGAAAATTCAGAAAAGACATGATTATTATGTGAATATATGCACACTTTAACTAAACCTGAGGAAAAGATTCAAGTTACTGTTTTGGGAGAAGGTATGAAATGAACACACAGAAAGAGGCAGAAAAGCAGAAGACATTTGAAAAGAGAGATGATCCACTTTATTTCTAGTCCAAAGTTAGCATGGGGAAATGTCAGGAGAAAAAATTTAAAAAAAATAAAAAATAAATGTGGAGAAGCAAAATATGAAGGTGGGGCTTGAAATAAGTATTTGATTCTATATATAATGTAAATCCACTAGAGAAAAACCTTATAGATTAACAAAGCAATACATATAATAATTTAAGAAAAGAAATCTGGTAGTGCTATCAACATCCTATCAATTATAAAGGAAAGATTGACCTGTTGCTGGCAATTGGAATACATTTCTGTTTATGTCTTCTGCCAACAAATTTAATACCTTTTCTGTCTTAACTAAGCACTGTAACTTTTGCAGTTTGAGACGCAACAAAAAAACTAGCATACATTTCTTCTTTTCTTCTTTACAATATCATAGGTAGATTAGTTTTTACCATAGATCTTAGGCAAAGAAATTCAGTCTATTATTAGAATCCCATATGTTGACACATTCTTGAGTTCAGGAAAAAGTTTATCTAGTCATAAGGAAATATTTTTATACTTATGATTAATCATATGAAATAGCATTTTATTGAAAAATGTTATGTCTCTATACATTGATGAGATTGATGTATGGTGTTCTTTAGCATGGAATATTGGTCATTTTATTGATGATATAATTTACTGAATGTATTCTATGTGTCTAAAACTGTGCCAATTATTTTGTATCCATCTATATGTCACTTCATGCTTATAGCAACTCTTTGTTTTACAGAAAGTGAAATTTGAGCCTATAGGTGGCCACTTTCCCTAGGCTACACAGTCAGTAAGTGGCAGAGAAAGAATGTGAACCCAGTCTGTCTCATTCAGAAGCTGGCACTCTGACCACAATGCTATGCTATCATACAGGATAAATCAAGAAATTTCTGATCTTTCTATTTATTCTAGAACTGGTTTTATATAAAAAAATAGTTTATCTAAATGCTGAAAGAATTCTTGAGAGAATCTAGTGGATCTAACTGTGTTTGCATGGTATACACTATTCATATATAAACTTGATTTACATTAATCAATTCAATTCTATCTATGGAGCACTTAGTATGTTCTGTGTGCCCAATGTTAGGGCTAGAAAACAAATATGATCTAGTCCTTTCTCTAAATAGCTCACATTCTGGTGAGGGAAATAAGAATATAAACAAGTACATTAAAATATCTGAAATTTAGAATTTCCTAGAGATTCTCAACAGCAGATTTCAACTTACACAAGAGAGAATTGGCAGACTTTAAGATACGTCAATTGAGATTATCCAATCTAAGAAGCAGAAATTAAAAAGAATTTTTTAAAAAGATGAATAGAGCATCAGAGAACTGTTAGACACCATCAAGCATTGCAAACACATGCATAATGAAAGTTCCAGAAGGAAAAGAGAGAGATAAACGGGAAGAAAGAATATTTGAAGAAACAATTGCTGAAAACTTCCCAGATTTAATGAAAAATGTTAACCTCCTAATAGAAGTATCTCCACAAATTCACAGTAGAATAAACTCAGAGATCCACATCTAGACACATCATAATCAAACTGTCAAAAAAACAAAGAAGCAACTCATCATGTACAAAGAATCTTCAAGAAGATTAACAGATGAGTTCCCATCAGAAATCATGAAGCCAGGAGACTATGGAATTGTACAGAGCAGTCTCCCATTATTCACAGGGGATATATTCCAAGACCACCAGTGGATGCCTGAAACTGCAAATAATACCAAACTCTCTTGCTGTTAATTGGAATACGTTTCTGTTCATGTCTTCTAACCACAAATGTAATACCTTTTCTGTCTTAAGTAAGCACTGTAACTTTTGCAGTTTGAGATGCAACAACAAAACTAGCATAAATTTCTTCTTTTCTTCTTTACAATATCATACGTAGATTAGTTTTTACCGTAGATCTTAGCAACCTCAGCACACAATTTTTCTTCTTTTCATATCAGGTCAAGGACTTTCAGCTTTTCACTTAAAGAAGGCACTTTATGGCTTCTATTTAGCATATCTAAATTGCCAGCATCACAACCCTTCTGCTTTAGGAACATTTTAAGTTAAACGAGGGTCATTTAAACACAAATACTGCGTTATTACTACAGTTGATCTGATAACTGAGACTGCGACTAAGTGACTAATGAACAGGTACTGTGTACATCATGGATACTTTCCAAAAAAAAGATGATTTGTGTACTGGGTGGGATGGAGCAGGATGGTGCAAGATTTCATCATTCTATTCAGAACGGTGTGCAATTAAAAACCTATGAATTGTTGATTTCTGCAATTTTCCATTTAATATTTCCAGACTGCAGTTAACCATAGGTAACTGAAACTGTGAAAAGTGAGACCATGGATAAGAGAGGGCTATTGTATTCAAAATGCTAAAAGAAAAAGACTGTCCGTGAAGAATGTTATGTTCAGCGCAATTTACATTGAAAAGACAAAGGGTAAATTAAGGAATTCTCAGATAAGCAAAAACTTTAAAAACTGGTCTCTAACAGACCAACCCTATAAGAAATACAAAAACAAGGTTTTCAGGCTGAAATGAAAGGATATTAGACTAGCTCTAATTCACATGAAGAAAGAATACCAATAACACTAATACACAGGTAAACATAAAAGACAATATACGTGTATTTGTGTTTATTTTATGCAGTTTAGTCTTTCAAAAAATTCCCTCCAGAGAACATCAACACAAATGAAACATTTTTGTTTCATTTCTTCCTAATTTGGTCTTGAGGTGCCTGTCTTGAGAATAGCCATAAACTCTAGCCCTATCCTGATGAAGACCCCAGGGATTTGGTTATAGAAGTTCAGTGTGCCTTTCCCAGATACTTCTTTATCCTGACGGACTGCCTAATGTCTAGCCCATGACCAGATGTCCTCACAGGACATTTGTTTATACTGGCAGGTACCATGTGGCTCCTGTCTGACCTGTATAATATTTGTGCCAAGATAGCCAATCTCTAGAAAAATAACTATGACTGGGAGGAAATTTGCATCCAAGTGTGTCAGTCAGGAGAGACACAGAGAAGACACACAACAAAATACACGAAATAACAGAAGTCGTTTATTACTTACAGGTCCAAGAGAGAAGGGGGTTACTAATCAAGGCTGATGGGAAGATCTCAGGGGAATTGTGCTCAACCAGAAGACGGAGAGGCAGAGAGAGGTAGATCTGTAGGCTGAATCCATTTGAGTATACAGCTAACTATATAAGGTCTAAGTATAGACCTGAATCCATTTTGAGTATAGGGTTAACTGTCTCATACTAGAAACAGGATTTAGTCACCCTTGATGCAGGCTGAGGCCTTTATTGGGGTGCAGGGTACCCAAGCAGATTTCCCATGAGGAATTCTAATTGATGGAATTAGACATAAGACCCATGAGGCCACACCGTGACTTAGAAGTGATCACTGTGGCACATCTGCATATTCCATGAGAGGTATGAGTGTCAGTGTGATGAGTCCAGTAGGTTGGATCTCTCTGTTTCATAGGGAAGTGGTTAACAGGAGGTGGGTATATAGGGCAGATATCTAGATCGACCACATTGAGGAACTGGCAGGAGGCAGAGAGTTGAAAACTGCATCAAGGGTGACTAAATCCTGTTTCTAGTAGAAGACAGTTAACCCTATACTCAAAATGGATTCAGAGCCAACATAAAATTGCAAGTACCCACTACACCTGTGTCCACTGCAATGGACAATATCTTAATTGGTTCAGGCTGCCGTAATAAAACACCATAAATTGGGTGGCTTAAACAACAGGAATTTATTTTCTCACACTTCTGGAGGCTAGAAGTGTTAGATCAAGGTGCCTGCTGATTTGGTTCCTTCCTGGCTTGCAAATGGCCACCTTCTTACTATATCCTTTTATGTCAGAGAGTGAGAGAAAGAAACAACTCTCTGCTGTCTCTTCTTATGAAAACACTGATCCTATAGGATGAGGGCTTCAGTCTTATGACCTCCTTTAACCTTAATTATTTCCTTAGAGGCCCAATTTCCAAATATAGTCACACTGGGGGTTGGGTCTTCAACATACAGATTTTGGAAAGACACACATATTCAGTCAAAAAAGACAACATCCTCTATAGGTTTCCTCTCATCTGTTTCATATCCCTGGTTCCTCACTCCTATTTCCTAAGATCACTTTCCAAATAAACTATCTGTATACAAGTGGATCAAGTTCTGCTTTCATGAGAACACAGGGTAAGGCAAGAATTGCTTCCAGAAATTTCCATGGCAGCATTGTTTGCAATAGCAAAAAAAAAAGAGGGAAATAACCTAAATGGCAACTGACACAAGAATGAAAAAATAAATTGTGGTATATATGTAATGAAATTAAGTTCTGGAGTTAAAATGGCATAAACACGTCAAAGAATACATATAGTATAATCCCATTTATATAGAATTCAAAAACAGATGAAACTCAACAATATGTTGTTTTTTGTTTAGGGTATAGGTTCATATGTAGAAAGACTATAAAGAAATCAAGGAAATGATAAACACATCATTCAGTGGTTACCCCCAGAAATGAAGAAAGAGAGCTTCAGAGTTATTGGTAATGCATTTCTGAAGCTGAATGCTCGATATATGGGTGTTGGTTTTACTGTTTTTTATCATACACACATACATCTTTACATCATACATATATTACATTTATAGTTATATATGAATATGGTTACATATATTTGCCTGGGCAACAGAATGAGACCCTGTCTTGAAAAAAAAAAAACCCAATATGTGGTTCAATCTTAGGAATTCATGGTCCTGAATAACTAGGCTAATTAATTAAGAGAGATGATAGCAATTTTCCACTTACTATTTTTGCATGCATTTAGCCTTCCTGAAATATGGTTGAAATTTAATTTATATAAAATTATAAATAAGAAATAAATTTATACTATTAAATTTAAATAAAATTAAATCACATATATATAACATACATCACATGTATACATATATCATATTTACAGTTAAATTACATAGTATTTAGCTACATATTGAATTGCATAGCAATTAACTATGTAATTTATTAGGCATTTTAATTAAGATAGTTAATTTAAAAAAAACAAAATATTAGCTTGAAGTATGAAAAGTGGGCTTTTAAAACACAAGCTTTGTTAAATGTTGCATTCATTTAACTTAAAAAAAATGAAACAGCAAAGTTGTTTTCACCAACAACATTTTCCAATTCAACTAGAAGAAATCCTAGGAGGAGAAAAAATATTTCTTTCCTAGGCAGTATACATTTTGAAATCTACCAATGGGAAAACATCTGTCAAGAATGAATTTCAGAAGAAAATTAATTTTATAATTTACCACCTAGATAGCTGCCAAACTTTAGTGACTAAAGCTCTAAACCAAGTGGCAGCAGATCTAACATCCTTTTCTCCTTCCTCTTCACGTTCCAGCTCTGCGACTGGATGCAAGCCAAGATCCTAGATGACTCAATTTTTCACTCTATCAGATGAAGACAATACTTGCCATCTCCCAAATAAAGGTTATGAGGATTAATCTGTCCATAATGCATTTGGAGATCCTTGCAATAAAGATTAAAACCATGTATAAAATTTACTATATTTTATAGGTGTGAGTTTTCAAGATCAGTTATCTTGAAACTGTTTATTCCCTAAGAATTGGGCCTGCAGTTTAATATCCTATGACATGAAATACATGGTTCAATCTTAGTTAGGGATCCACAGTCTTCAATAACTAGGCTTCTGTTGGTATAGTTAATTAAGAGAGATGATAGCAATTCTCCACTTACTATTTTTGCCTGCATTTATCCTTCCTGAAATATGGTTGAAATTTAAAACATGGAAGCTGGTTACTACTTACTCCTAGACACCATCCTAGAAGTAGCACAAGATGGGTCATACGGCTGATTTAAAATCTAGAATATAAATGTGACATAAAATGTAGGATTAATATTTCAAAAAATACACCTGTCCTAGCCAAGGATACTTTTTTCCTTAATTAAAAATGATATCGTTAACATTACAGTTTACTGATTAAATGCCATTTACATATTAGTATTTGCCTATTAGCATTAGGAAGAAAATACCTTCTAACAATTCACATCTGCCTCTTCTCTAAACTCATTAACAATTCCTATTCACCATATTGTAAAGACATTTACTTTCAAGATTTCAGGCTTTAATAGGCCAGGCATGGTGGCTCACCTCTGTAATCCCAGCACTTTGGGAGGCCGAGATGGGAGGGTTGTGTGAGGCCAGGAATTTCAGCAATATAGGGAGACCCCCATCTCTACAAAAAATTAAATACAATTTAAAAATTAACCAGGCGTGGTGGCATATGCCTGGGGTCCCAGCTCCTTGACAGAGGATAAGGTGGAAGGATCGCTTGAGCCTGGGAGGTCTAGGCTGTGCTGAGCCATGATCACACCACTGCACCAGCTTGGGCAACAGAGCAAGACCCCATCTTAAAAAAGAAATTAATGGTTTAAAAAATAGCTTCATGACTCAAGTCACTGCAGCTTCAGAGTTGTTTTAGCTTTTAGATAGATAGAAGTATTTTAGCCTTTCCCATCCTGTGTGCAATTTAACAGCATCCATGAGTGTATTTAACAATATTACTTTTCACCCAAATTCTCCTATTCATTTTTTAAATTCACTTATTTTCACTTATTATTATTCATTCAACAAACATTTATTAAATGCCTACCTACTATGTGCTGAAGCTTTGCTGAGCGAAAAGATGCAAATAAAACATTATCCCTGCCTTCAAAGAAATTCATTGTATAGTAGGCAAGACATAGAAGGAAATATGTGTTTCTAATTCAGTATTTTTTAAATCAACAATTCAAAAAAAAATTAAATGAGTTTTGTAGCATCCATGGTTTTGTAGTGTGATCATGTCACACCCCTGACAGTTTAACCTCTCTGTGGGTTCCATAGGTTTTAGGATAAACTTGGAATTTGTACACATACCCTGCCATAAATGTCCCTTGTTCACCACTACCAGGACAGCTCTTTCCTGCAGTAGAGTGACTTCTCACAGCCCGAGTTGTGCCTTTTCTCTCTTTCTCATCCTTTGCCTATGCTGTGCCCTCTACTTGGCACGCCTGCTGCTAGTGCTTCCTCTTTTGCTAGATTATTCTTATTTTTAGGAGTTTTCTCTGGAAAGCTTCCTCTGACTCCTTTAGCTTTGTCTATGCACCTCTCCTCTTAGCTTCCATGGAATTACATGCATATCATTATTACAGCATTTATCTTTCCCTTTAAGTTATTTCTCCTGGTAGAATATTCAGTCCTTGGAAGCAACACTACCTTATTTATCTTTGAACCTAGTACCTATCACAGTGCTTTCCTTCATAATATCTACTCAATAAACTCCATTGACCTAATGCTTTACAGAATAAATGAATACACTTGTATATAAAGGTAAGTCTGATAGAAGAAGCTATCATAAGGAACTACAAGAGCACATAGAGAAGCTCATAGCTCAAAATGGGTATGAATTTAGGGGGCAGTCAAAGGCTTGAAAGCTCCACTGCTGAGGTGGTGTTTTCTGTGCCGATTTGGAAGAGTGGCTAGGAATAAGCCAGGCACAGTGATAGAGGAAGGAATGCTTGCCGATATGAACTGATGTCCTCATGCTGAAGAAACAGCATGTACAATGGCACAGAGTGGGTGTATCAAAGTCTTTTTCAGAAATTGATCAAGACGGAAATAACTATGTAGTCATAGTCAAAAGGAGAATACAAGGTAGCTGCATTTTTCATTTGGTCATTCCTACTCTTACGTTATAACTGAGCAACTGGGTTCTCCCCACTTCTGTTCATTCTGTTCCCACTTCCTGTCTCTCCTGGCCTGCCTCTCTGCTTCCCTATTATTCTCTCCTCCCATCCCCATCTTCCTTTGCTTATTTTCTTCCTCCTTTCTCTTAAAGCAACAGCTGATTACAAGAGTTTGATCTTGGCTAGGCGCAGTGGCTCACGCCTGTAATCCCAGCACTTTGGGAGGCTGAGGTGGGTGGATCATCTGAAGACGGGAGTTCAAGACCAGCCTGGCCAACAAGGAGAAACCCCATCTCTACTAAAAATACAAAAATTAGCCGGGCGTGGTGGTGCACGCCTGTAATCCCAGCTTCTAGGGAGGCTGAGGCAGGAGAATTGGTTGAACCCGAGCGGCAGAGGTTACAGCGAGCTGAGATCACGCCAGTGCACTCCAGCCTGGACAACAGAGTGAGACTCCATCTCAAAATAATAATAATAATAATTAATAATAATAATAGTAATAGTAATAATAATACAAGTATTTGATCTCTCACAACTCAGAACTTTTTGGAACTTATACACGCTGACCTACTCTATTTTACAGAAAAGGCACATATTGATCAAAACAGACACAACATCTGTAACTTCTTACAGCAGTTACAGCAAAAAATAGGACCCAGTCTCCTAACTTCTAATGTAATACTTTCAGATTCTCTACGATCAAGCTGCTACAACCTTATTCTTCCAGAATTAAAAAAATCTATTTAAGCTCAAGGAAATAGTTTTAAGAAGCTGCTTCCTTTAAGACATGACAACAGTTTTTCTCAATAGGACTGTGAGATCAACTTCCTGGAGATAGCAATTATGTGAATGTGGAACATACATTGTTTGAGAATGTATATGAAGAGTATGAATATTTCCTCCTTGTTAAAATATATTTTTATATCAAAGTGCCATGTATGCAACAGAGTGAGGAATTATTAATGTCTGGCTGGCGTAGGCCTTCATCTTAGGAACCCTGTGTTAGATGGAGTGGCTCTGTTTGTGTGAATTGAGGGGTAAGAAAGCATGGTAAGTGGAGCCAACAAGATGTTTGAGAAACTGCCTCATTCCTGATGAAACCTCAGGTCTTCAGCAAAATTATTAGACAGTTGGAATGTTTGGCGCGGAGCGACCTTTAGTGGAAACTGACACGTGACAGGCCTGTTTGCGTATGTTGGTTTAAATTAGAAGTGAGAAGGCACCTATTGGAGCAGCCACTACGAATACCTGACGAATACCCACCCCTCGTTCTTATTTATTAATAGAACCTCATTTGTTCAGGGTGAAATTGTACCCAGGTACACAGTTCTCATCAATGAGACGCGAGTGATGGACTGATAGGGATTTGGGTTTCCTAATGTAGGTGACTCCTCAATTCCTCCTTTTCCCGTTTTCCTGCCAATAGTATGATCAGGCTATTACCGGTGCAGCAGCCACCTGGCAAGCAGGAGGATAATGAAAATAGAGGACCAGAAAGATGAAAAGAGTCTGAGTCAACGATGACCCTGTGGAGCTAGACTGGGAAAAATTCTCCCCTATTTGACTGAGCCATTGCTGTTGCATTTCTGTTACACGCTGCTAAAGCAGGTCCTAACTGATCAATATACCCAAACATAGGAGAGGGAAGAGACGGACCGTGAAGAAGTAAGCTGGAAGATAATTTGCAGAAATCATGGCGAGGGTGTTGAATTTTTCACAGACCATGAATTGGGAAGTTCGAAGAAACTATACTCCAATTCTGAGGAAAATGGAGGTTCCATTGTAGGTCTTTGCAGCATTGTGTAACAAGCATTTCCGTTTAAGATGGATCTATGTTTGTCCTGGATCTATGTTTGTCTGGCAGAGCCTATAGGTCTTAGGTGGTAGGAATGGCACGAGTCTGTTTACGTGAAAGTCTAAGAAGCCTCTGGCGAACTCATTCTTAAGGGGAAAAAAAGATAGTTCAGTAGAAGATTGTTTCAAGTATAATGGACTTGTCAAACGGAAAACATTATGCGTAGGATTTTTATATTAGATTGCTCTCTAGCCAAATGCCTGAGGACTCCTGCCTGAGTTCAAGGACAAGGAGGCTGCAAAAAGAAAGAGTAAAGCTAAAATGGACATTTTCTAAATACCCTCCCTAGGATGGTTAGCACCCAAAATATCAAAATTCTTGATACTAGTTTGATAGGCATAATTGTGCTGAAGACAATCACTCCAGTGGTGGCAAAAAGATTGCTAAAAGTGACAGGCATTGCAATGACAATTTCAGTGACCTCAGTGTAGTCACTAGCATCTTGGCGTAGAGCTTTGCATGTGCCCTATATATAACATGAGTATCGACACAATCTATGGTAGTCATAATTCTATATAGATGTCTCCTGTCCCAAGATTCCCCAAAGCAAGTTATTCAAACATGAATCTAGGCACTGTGCTAAAGGGACTCTGCAGATGTAATTAAGGTTACTATCAGCTGACCTCAAGGTAGGTTGGGCCCAAGGTAATCACATGAGATCTTAAAAGCCAAGGAGGAAAGTAGAAAAGTAAGGCAGGAGAGATGAGGCAGGAGGGATCAGAGAAAATGAAAGTGTGAGAAGGACCTGACCTGCCATTGCTGGCTTTAGCAATGAAGGCAGCCATGAGCTAGGGAATGTGGGTGGTCTCTAGAAGCTGAGAAAGACCCCACTGCCAGCTATCAAGGAAAAATAATCCCAGTTTAACAGCCACCCAGAACTGAATATTGCCAATAACCTGAAGCCATTTTAAAACAAATTCTTCCTCAGAGGCTCCAGTAGACCATGCAGCCTTCCTAATACCTTGATTTTAGCCCGGCAAGATCCATGTTGGACTTTAGATCTATCAAACTGTGAGATAATAAATTTTATGTTAAGCTGCTAAGTTTTGGTAATTTGTTACAACAGCACAGGAAACTAATACAATATTTTGCCTTTTTGTAATTATTTCTCGGTACAGTCATCTGCCACATAATGACATTTTGGTCAGTAACTGATCACACATATGACAGTGGTCCTGTAAGACTGTAATACCGTATTTCTACTGTACCTTTTCTGTGTGCTTAGTTATGTTTAGGTACACAAGTACATATCATTGTGTCACAACTGCCTACAGTATTTAGTACAGACACATGCTGCACAGGTTTTTAGCCTAGGAGCCATGTGCTCTACCATATAGCCCAGGTGTGTAGTAGGCTATACTATCTAGGTTTGTATAACTACACTCTATGATGTTTGCACAATGATAAAATCACCTAATGATGCATTTCCTAGAATGCATCCCCATCATGAAGTGATATATGACTGTATGTTTTTCTCTCCTGCTAAACTCCCAATCCTTTAGGGCAAGGATAATGTGATCCAGTTATTTACTTGTCTATTTCTACTCCTCCTAACCAAGGCTTCCCCTCTATTTTTTCCTTTTTGATATGAAATTTCCACTGTCTTTCCTTTAAAATATTCATAGTTTGTTTTCAAATATCTTTTCAAGAACAATGGTTGTATTTGATTATTGCTAAGGTCTTATTGCACAAGGGAAAATAAAGTCTAGCTTCATTTGCATCTCAAAAAATAAGAGTTACACTTAAAATAGGCGTGTATATGTTGCGCTGATTCTGCTTACATTGGTTACAAGGTAAAATGTATGTACATTGGTACATACGTTGGTTGCTCCTTACCTTCACGTTCACTGGCAGAGTTGCAGAGATAGTGTTACGCCTCTTTCATCCCTCAGTGATTTAAAGTTGTACTTATATCTTTTCATTACCATTTGAATTTTATTGCTCCTACATTTATTTGTATTTAATTCACGTTCCCAGTAGAAAATATATTTTAAAATAATTTTGTTTTGAAAAAAGGAGAAAATGATATTTTAAGAATCACAAAAGTGAAAACTCATTTCTATTTTAAAGGATTTTTTAAAAGGTAAAATTCTGAGTCTTATGCAGATAAAAAATGAACATATGTGGAAATTTTTATGTAACTCATTATTGATGAGGGAGCTGGTAAGATGTTAAAATCTGTTCAGATAATCCAAAGAATAATCACAATTATAAATCAGAAATACTGAAATGAACATGCAAATAAAGGCAAAATTGCTTCTTCCATAGTACAGAGAAAAAAAAATCTCTTTAACATCACCTAATAGAATATGTTTGCATGGCTATAAACAAGAATTATTTTGCATCGCTATCAGTTATCTACAACAAAGGTATTGTAACACAGATCAATGGCAATAAAAAGTGCAGAGTCTGGTGGCTCACGCCTGTAATCCCTGCACTTTGGGAGGCTGAGGCTGGCAGATCTCTTGACCCCAGGAGTTGAAGACCAGCCTGGACTATATGGCAAAACCCTGTCTCTACACAAATAAATAAATAAATAAATAAATAAATAAATAAAAATACAAAGCTTAGGAGGGCATGATGGTGCAAGCCTATAGTCCCAGGTACCCAGTACTATAGGAAACTACAAACCTCTATTGTTAGATTTGTCATCTATTATTCCGTACAAAAGCATTCTATGGATTCCATTGCTACAGTCATGTTTTGCACATTGGGATATATAAAATAGTGGAGGAATTTTCTGTTTCAGTGGAAATTTATGCATATTTACAGCACACTCTTCCTGGTACTTCTGACTCTATGGGGGCTCTGCACTTTTTTTTTTTTTCCCAGACAGAGTCTCACCCTGTAACCCAGGCTGGAGTGAAGTGGCATGATCATGGCTCACTGTGGCCTCGACCTCCCCTGGGCTCAGGCAATCCTCCCACCTCAGCTTCCCGAATCAGGCACATGCCACCATGCCCAGCTAATTTTTGCATTTTTTTGTAGAGACAGGGTTTTGCCATATTGCTCAGGCTGATTTCAAATTCCTGCGCTCAAGCAATCCACCCTTCTCAGCCTCCCAAAGTGCTGGGATTACAGGCAAGAGCCACTGTACCCTGCCATAAATTTCTTAAATGTAGGAGGAATTAGTGCTTAGGTCTGTAAGACTGTCTAATTCTACTGCTCAGTGTTAGAAATCACACTTGCATCTCACACCAAAGCAGATCTTCCAACCTGGTCTCTATCAGTAACATTGATTTAATATTTGCCGTTTTATTTATCAAAATGTTCAGAGCCATGGGCAAGAAAGAAGGTGCTAACTTAGGAACTCCTCAGATTAAGCATAAACATTCAAGATAATGCTACATTTTTAAAATGTAATATTTGCTATGCTTTGAATGTCCCCTCCAAATCTCATGTTGGAATTTAATTGCCATTGTGAGGATATTAAGAGGTGGATCTTTAAGAGATGATTACATCACAAGGGCTTTGCTCTCATGAATGGATTAATACCATTATCATAGGAGTGGGCTTCTGATAAAAGGATGAGTTTAGCCTGATTTCCTTCTTCTCTGTCTCCTGTGCTCTTGCCCTCTCACCATATGATGCTTTTCTCTATATTACAACATAGCACAAAGGCCACCAGATGAGGCACTGTGTTCTTGGATTTACCAGCCCCCAGAACCATAAACCAAATAAACTTCTTTCATTATACATTATCCAGTCTGTGGTAATCTATTATGACAACAGAAAACAAACTGGAGACAATATTGCTTTGCTATTTTTAAAATTTACCATGTTAAAAATAGTTTTCTACGTTTTCATCTCAAATACAAAGTTCTCGAGGTGGAGCATAATGTATTCTATTGTTTGTTTCCTTTTCTGTCCACCATGAGAACACTTTTTACATTATTTTAAATTTATATTTCAATCAATAAAATTAGCAAGATTAATGTTTTGTAATACAATCTAATTTTAAATTAAGGAATTTATATTACAATTATCTGAGGGACCTCAAACAAATCACTTAGGCTCTCTAAAGCTTAGGGTTGTAAACATTTCAACAAGATAATCTCTTTGTTTCCTTTATCTCTTACCTCATTTTACTGTGATTGATATGGTGGACTGGTTTGCAAACATATTAATCATGGATAATTTTGGCAGAAGACCACTGTAGACTGGTACTTACAACATTCATTTCTACATGCAAAGCAAAATGTAAGTTTCCTCAGTTAATGGAAATTTAATGAGTTTCACCATTAAATATCAGTTACTTAATGTCAATTTTAAATTACCTATCTTAAAAAGCACTTATTAATACCTGATATCAGATACTGTGTTATTATATTATAAATACTAGTATCATATATGTGAATGGTCCAATGACAATATGACTAAACAATTCGGTCCATTATTACTTGCTAAATTGAACATTGAGAACTCTTACTAAATCATCAATGATTTGAGATTCACACCTATATATTAATCAATTACACAACTCATTGATATTATCAGGATTATTCAATAACTTTAAAATGCTTAGAATTCTAAGGTTAGCACTGCACTGCTGGTTTGTAAGTCTCTGCTATTTGGGATGTAGAATTTACATTTCTTTTGATTCTACATTTTAATATTTAGGAAAGAAATTTTCAAAGATGAGATATCTGATTACAGCATTAACTATCTTACATATTTAGTATGTAATATTTCCTATACTAATTATCCAACAAAATGCTTATTTTTAATCATTGCCATAAAAACATAACTAGTGTTTTATGATACACACACACTTTCTATCTCTCTCTGTCTTACACACACACACAAACACACACTTTTTCAGTTTCATTATCACAGTCTTTTACATGTAATTTGTTAGCTTGTAAGGTGGGTAGAGAAGAGAAGGGAGGAAAAAGATATGTTTTGTGGAGTTTAAAATATTTTTTTTCTTTCCTGAATAAATGCATACATCCTTCATGAACCTTTTAAAAACGATTTAGATAAAGAAACATGATTTCCAAATAACTACTGTCATAAACTTATCCACTCCCTTGAGAAAACTGAAGTATGGCCAACCAATTTTCAGATGCTTCAGCCTGAGTTCTAACACTACCTTCCCTAAAATAGTCAGACCATAAGTCATACAAATACATGTAGTTTGAAGGCTTCCCTGTTGGTTCTACATCTCCAGGATAATAAAAGTGAGTTCAAAGTAAAGCTAGTGAAATTATCATTTACAAAAGCAAAAACTTACCAAACATAAAATGGTAGTAGGCAAGAATAAGGGCAATGTATGAGTTATTGCTAAAATAAGTCAAGGACCACTCCTGTCTGTTCTTATAGGCGTATCATTCTCCTGCTTCTTCCACTGTGCCTTTTTCTTTACTCTGACACTGCATTTTACTGACAACATGTAAAAATTGAACTAGATTTAATTTTTGTCCTGAAGTTCCTCCTTGTATTGCCCTTTACTGGCTGAAAAGACCATTCTGATCCCTCCATTTTTCTTCTAAATTATATTTGAAAATGAAAATGTGTTCCTTATTTTATTTCTCTTTGCTTGTATTTTATAATAGGCAGAAAAAATAAGCCAGGTTGTAGCTTCAATACTCTGCCTGGAAATCTCCTTAACTAGATCATCAATTTTCCACAACGCTGCAAACAGCAGTGTTGACAACTTTCCACCATTATGTAACAAGGGTCCTTTTTCCTTCCACTTTCTGTAGAAATTTCCTTGCTTTTCTTGAAACATTGACAAACAGCCTCCTTGATGCCTGTCAGACTTCCATCCACAGCACTATCCCCAAAACAATGCCCCATCATTTAGGTTTCTTTTTATTTGGCTTTGTCTTTTTTATACCACACCCCACTCCTAATGCCAAATTTTGTTCCAGTTATCTATTGCTACCTAGTAAATTACCTGTGAATAGTCACATATCTATGGCTCAAGAATTCAGAGACTGTACAGTTTAGATAGTTTTTTGTTTATTTGTTTGCTTAAACAACAGAAATTTATTTTCTCACAGTTCTGGAGGCTAAAAGTCCAGTAACAAGGCACTGGCAGGGTGGATTCCTCTGAGGCCTCTCTCCTTGGCTTGCAGACTGCTGCCCTCTTGCTGCCTCTTCACATGGCCATCCCTCTGTACACTTGTACCACTGGTGTCTCTTCTTATAAGGACACCATTCATATTGGATATATACTGAATCATTTTGTTTTGTTTTTTCTCCGTAATGCTTGTGATCTCAGCTGAAAATGTTTGAATAGCAAAGAATACACAAACGGCTCAAAGCTAGAATCATCCAGAGGCTTCTTCATGCACATGTCTGGCGCCTAGGCAGGGATGACTTGAAGGCTGGGGTGCAGCTGGGACTTTAACAAAAGTGCTTTGTGTAGTCTCTCCATGTGATTTTGGCTTCTTCAAGCATGGACCCTGGGTGAATCTGGATGTCTTAGGTGGTAGGCTAAAATGCCAAAAGCAGGTGCTCCAGCCGCATAGCAGAAGCTGCATGACCTTTTATGACCTAGTCCTGGAAATTACATAAATTACATACCATCACTTCCACTAATCTCTATTTGTCAACACAGTCACAGCTCACCCAGATTTAAGAGCAAGGGACATAGACACCACCTTTCAATAGAAGAATATCAAATAACCTGTGGCCATACTTTAAAACCACCATAGGCACTCAAACTAACCAATAAAGTTCTAATAGTAAAGCTAGAAAATGTTCCTCAAAAAGAGAATAAGTTCTTGCTGGAAGTAACAGCTTTTCTCCAAGAACACAGTCAAGGCCTCTCCAAGAACACAGGAGGCCTCTTCCAGGGTCTTAAATAGCCTCAATTCAGCACCCTAATTAACCACAGATCAGACACAATGCATCACTGATCCACCACCAAGTGGCAGAGCTGGTAGGACCTCCTGGAGAGTTTCATTAGCTGTGGTACTCCCTCAAAGCTGACAGCTTTATGAATTATACTTGGTTCTTGATTAATTTTAAAAGAACAAATTTCACATCTGATACCATACAGTCACTTTCTATCTGAAAGAACGATATCTGAAAAAATATCTGAAAGTCACTTATTCTGAAAGAAATAGAACCATTATTCATTTCAGAAAAAAATTGTTGTGAAAACAACCACTATCTCAATATTCTTGCCAACTGAGAACATGTTGGTTGATGAAACATCTAGAATTTTGAGGTTGATATGTCAAATAATATAGTTAGGTCTGGCTATCAAACTACTTCACTCTTCAAATTGTATTATTTATTCTATTTTTCTTACTGGCATAGTCGCCTTTTGTAGGAGTGAAAAAGAATTTCTATTTTACTTGTTAGTCAACATTTTATGGAAACTGGTTAAATCCTTTTTTAAAAACTGCATATTCAATATCTCAAACAAACATTAAACAAGTAATTCTTGCTTTGAATTTGTGATTGTCAAGACAACATTTAACTCAAAATCACAGAAGTAGTTTTAAATAAGAATCCCACATGAAAATACAATGATCATTTAAATCAGAGGTTGGCAACGTTTTTCCTGTAAAGGGCCAGGTAGTAAATAGTTTAGGTTTTGTAGGTCATAAGATCTCTTCTGTCCGTACTGTTCAACTCTGTTACAGCAGCACAAAAGCAGCCATCAGAGACAATAGAAATGGCCGTGGCTGTGTTCCAGTGAAGCTTTTCTTACAAAACAGGTGGTGGCTGGATTTAGCCCCTGGGCTTTAGTTTATGGAGCCCTGATTTAAATCGAAGTGTGTTTCTAGGACCATCGACATCAGGCTCACTTGGGAACTTGTTAGAAATACAAATTCTTAGATCCCACCCCATACGTGCTGAATCAGCAACTGAGGGGTAAAGCCACAATCTGTGTTTTAACAAGCTCTCTGTGTAATTCCAAAGTGAGTTAAACTATTAGTGTATGTTATGTAGATTTTCATCAATATACGACAACTTTGCTTACACAATATTATGAACTATTAAAAAGAGTGATGGTTTCCAATTCTGTAAGAACTAGATAGCATTTTTACAGCATTATTAGGCAAATTGAGCCAGAACACTGTATTTGTAAACAATGGGCCCTTACACACAGACTTTAGCTTATTCTTTGTGTACTCTATTCCAAGCAGCACATAGTAGGTGCTCAAGAAAGACTTTTTTTTCTTTTTCTTTTTCTTTCTTTCCTTTTTTTTTTTTTTTTTTGAAATGGAGCCTCACTCTGTCGCCCAGGCTGGAGTGCAGTGGTGTGATCTCGGCTCACTGCAACCTCTGCCTCCCAGGTTCAAGCAATTCTCCTCCCTCAACCTCCTGAGTAGCTGTGATTACAGGTGTGTGTCACCACGCCTGGCCAATTTTTTTGTATTTTTAGTAGAGACAGGGTTTCACCATATTGGCCAGGCTGATCTCGAACTCTTGACATTGTGATTCACCTGCCTTGGCCTCCCAAAGTGCTGGGATTACAGGCGTGGGCCACTGTGCTCAGCCAGAAGAAAGACTTTTTAAATAAACACATTTAAAATAAGAAAAGATGAAAAAGCCTGTATTCACTGATTTTTCCCTAGAAGTATAGATTGACAAGGAAACTCATTAACCAGGCTATTACAATTCTTTGGCTATCTAAATATTGAATGAATGAATAAAAGAAGGGGTCAAGAAAATAATCGGATTTTTTTGTGAACGATAAAATAATATTCTATATGCCTAAATAATTTATAAGTAGCAGAAATAGAAATATGCGTAATATTAAGCACTGAAAGAGGCTTATGGAAAGATTTGCATTTTTCCTTCCAGTTTGAAAATTCTCATGATTCTCTATCTACAAAAAGTGAAAACAAAGTACTTGAAAGGAAGAAAGATTTCCAAAATATTAGAGCAATTATGGGACAAAGTTACTAAGGGAAAATAATGTGAACGGTTCCTCAAAAAGTTTCTGCTTTCCTCAGGCCCACTCTCAACTCCCACCCCCAAACTGTCCCCTGGCTTAGACCCTTAAAGATGACCGGTGAAAACAAGGCTGGACTTAGACCAGATTTGGTAAAACTACATTCTCCAGAAGAGGGCATAAATGTCAATTCCAGAATGTTTCCAGAAATCATGGTCTTTAGACGTCTTAGTTTCATATAGGAGTCCCTTGAAGTGCTCAAAAATTTGCCTGATTTTTGTTTGTTTGTTTGTTTGTTTGTTTGAGACATCTCGCTCTGTCGCCGAGGCTGGAGTGCAGCGGCGTGATCTCGGCTCACTGCAACCTCCGCCTCCGGAGTTCAAGCAATTCTCCTGCCTCAGCCTCCCGAGTAGCTGGGACTACAGGCGCCCGCCACATCCGTCTAACTTTTGTATTTTAGTAGAGACGGGATTTCACCGTGTTGCCCAGGCTGGTGGCGAACTCCTGAGCTCAGACAATCCGCCCGCCTCAGCCTCCCAGAGTGTTGGGATTACAGGCGTGAGCCACTGCGCCCAGCCCACATAGTGATTACTTTTTAGCATTGTGATGGGCACATGGTATAAATTTATCAACATTTGTTTAATGAGTGTGTGAACTCACTAGACACCCACACATATATGCATATCCGTCAGTGTTTCCACATATATAGTAAACCAGACATTGTAATAAAAATACTTTTAATTTATTGATCTATCTGCCTATGTATCTATCTTTGGAATTTTTCACAATATCCAGTCTTCACAATATTACCCAGGAATCAAAAGGTCCGAACGAACTAGTTTTGATCTGCTTTTCTGAAACAGTGCAGGAGGCAGGCAAAATCGTCCATGAGCAGGGACTTTAAATTGATTTTTAAAGTAGATTCCTGATTTAAGCGATTCAGAGAGTAACTAGTACAGTCATCTCATTTTATAAATGTGTTTAATCATTTTATATCTAATAAACAATAAACAACAGAGTTGATCTCCCATGAGTGTTTTTCAAACTGTGATTTGCAACCTATCAGCAGATCATGAAATCAGTTCAGTGGGTTTTGACCATCATGTGTGGTTTGTGTGCGTGTAAACAGAAAAGATGAAACTTCAGAGTGAAAAAGAGCTATTAAAAGGATTACTTTATGAAACTTTTATGTCAATTTTACATATGTGTATGTGATCATATGTTAAAAAAAAATCTTGTGAGTTGCAACCCAAAAAAGTTTGAAATCTATTGATTCAATAGTGCCAGATTATGGCTTAACTCCTAATTCTTTCATTTAGATTCTTCTCAACTCATCTTTAATATTAACCATAGAATAAAATGTGTTAACTCTACAGTGGAACTAACCGTATCAGTTGGAGTAAATTTCAGCAGTACTGAGAGACTCATTAATAAAAACTGCACAACGCAGTGTTCCACTGTAGCTTTTCTGAATATCAACATTTAGTTTTAGTTAATTTAATGGGGGATTATTTTTTCTACAACAAGTGATATGGACAGGAGACAGGGAAATACTGGGTAGAAGAGGGCTGTTCCCCGGGAAAGGCCCCACCCTCAGGCCTGGATACCCACAGCCCTTGATGGGAACAGGCATTCCTGTTTCTGTGCCCGAAAGTTGCCTTTTGGCCCACCACAACCTCCCCCTGCACCCCGCCGCATCCTGTACTCGTATAAACCTCAAACCCCTAGCTCCAGGAGGAGAGGAGCAGGCAAAGAGAAGAGCAGAAGAGCGGCAGAGGAGAGAAGAGAAGAAACATCGGGAGAAATTTAGCTGGGGATGGTCGGAGAATCAGCTGTTGGATGGCCAAACTCCAGGGGAAGATCATCTTCCTACGCCTTTCCCTTTGCAGCTCCCCATTCATCCCGCTGAGAGCCAGCTCCACCACCCAATAAAACCCCCACATTCACCATCCTTCAAGTCCATGTGTGACCTGATTCTTCTGGGATGCTACACAAGAATTCAGGACACAGAAACCTGTCACACTGGCCCTCTGCTCGAGCAAAAAGGTAGAGGGTCCACTGAGCTGCTTAACACTTAGGCATCCAAGGACAGCAAGGCTAAAAGAGCGCACTGTAACACACGCCCACTTGGGATCCTGCACCTGTCCGTCTACATACTCCCCCTCCTATATGGGGTTTTAGCAGCGGCAGCAACCGAACAGATGAGCCACACCCTTGTCACACATCCTGAGAGGTGGGTCAGGGAACAATCGCATTTCACAAGGAAACTTTGATCCTTGGAACAATGAACAAAATTGTGTTGGAGTCTAAGCAAGGTAACTGATGGATATATAAAAGTTTCAATTTTCTGAATTGGAGAATTAGTAGAAATAGTGTCCATTCAAATGTCAGAAAAGCAGTTAAAAGCTAGTTGATATAAGTAAATACACATGGATAATATTGATGACATATTATAAATGCCTAGAAAGAATAGGTATAATCAATTAGGTTTTCTTACTATGTACTTAAACTATTTAATTTAAACTATAAACATTGTATGCATGCAAGACTTAAAGATCAGAATGAACATAAAAATGGTTGTCAATTATCTGGAGATTTATAAATACTGAATATAATTGTTTAGAATCAAATGGATAATAATTTATTTATTTGAGTTATTTATTAAATTATCTGACTATTTGGATTAGATAGAAATAGCTTCAAATGTTAGCTATTGCTGCAGTTCGTACCCTCCAAATCTCATGTAGAAATGTTATCCCCAGTGTTGGAAGTGGGGCCAAATGGGAGATGTTTGGGTAATGGGGGCAAAGCCCTCATGAATGTCTTGGTGCTGTTCTCATGGTAATGAGTGTGTTCTCGATTCCCAGGAGAGCTAATTCCCAGGAGAGCTAGTTGTTGAAAAGAGCCTAGCACCTCTCCCCTCTTTTTTGCTTCCCCTCTTGTTGTATGTTCTCTACATATGCCTGATCCCCTTCACCTCCCACCATGAGTGGAAGGAGACTGAAGACCTCACCAGAAGCAGACGCTGGTGCCAAGCTTCTTGTACAATGTGCAGAAGCATGAGCCAAATCAACATCTTTTCTTTACAAATTACCCAGCCTCAGGTATTCCTTTATAGCAACACTAAATAAACGAAAATGGCTATACAAGGCAAATTGGATTTCAAATTATTTCAAGGAATTGGCTATTAAATAATGTTAACTATTACTAATTTCCATAATATAATCTAATTGAATTCAATTAGCTTTTACAAAATTAACTGTGTGTATGTATAGTGTTAGAGAATTTTTATAATATAATTTCATAAATAAAATATTTTAGTTACTATAAATGCATGCTATTTGCTTTTATTAACAGAATTCACAGTGATGACTACTGTACATAAATAATACAACATTATGAATCTGTTATTTTTCCTACAAAATGTGTTGTCGGATGGCTGCCCCTTAAAATATTAATGTTGTGGGATGTAGGATAACTAAGGATTTAAAGAGCTTAACCATCGTTGATCTATACTTTTAAAATTACACCACTGATAATACTTTAGATGTCCTGTTGAAAATGAAGTGGCAATATTCCAGAATTGCTCTAATTTTTCATATTCTCCAAGCAGGAAACACATTAAGGCTTTCATCTTTGGGGCAGCACAGGGTGCCATTTAGCAAAGTCAAATGAAACTTTTTAATGTAAATAATGGAATAGAAACATTCACTTATTAACGGAGTATCTGTGAACAAAAGATGTATTTGTTACAACTGATAAGGAATCTTATGTCTATGGGTGAAAAAGGTTATGTTTTAGTACCTTTGCAACCATCAGTACAATGTTTGTTTAAGATAAGAGCTGTTATATTAACTACACTTATTACAGGCAATAGTAAATAATTTTCAAATGAGAAACAAATAGTGAAAAGCAAAAGTGAAGTAAATAAAGTGAAAATAAAGTTAAAAAGTGAATTTTTTATTAATTTTTTTATTGTCTTTTAAAATATCATCTTATTGCTGGTTCTCCAAGAGAAATAATAATTAAATAAAATCTTTTGCTGATTTCCTTACAATATTACTTATCAGTTGATCTATTGGTCTATCTATTGTTTAATCAGTGTTTTTCCAATACTATATAAAACTCGTAGATGACACATAAAGTTTTTCCAAGGGTGTGTTTTTAGAAATCTAAAAATAATATTTAAAAAGCAATAAAATTGGCTTCATAAGTAGCATACTACATGCTAATTATTATCAAATTTGAATTATTTAATATAGGAATATTCATTTTGGTCTAAAATCTTATTTCATCAAAATAATTTTGGCAGGCAGAGTTAAATTTTTTAAATAGGTTTAAGATATAAATGTGTTTTTTAAACTTATTTGGAAATAATTTCAAATGTACAAAAAAACAAAAAGGAAGCTAGTACAAAAAGTGCCATATATTCCTTTATATACTAACATTTTATTCTGTTTGTTTTCTAATTGGATGTATATGTGTGTTTTATTAAACATTTGAGGGTAAGTAATATACTTCATGACTCTTCCTCCTAAGCGTCTCAGCTTATGTTGCTTACACATAGGGATAGCCTTACTTAACCACAATACAATAACTTAATATAATTATTAACTTCAGCAATTAACACTTTGATATGGTTTGGCTGTGTCCCCACCCAAATCTCATCTTGAATTGTAGCTCCCATAATTCCCACGTGTTGTGGGAGGGACCAGGTGGGAGATAATTGAATCACGGCAACAGGTTCCCCATGCTGTTCTCCTGGTAGTGAATAAGTCTCATGAGAGCTGATGGTTTTATAAGGGGAAACCCCTTTTGCTTGGTTCTCATTCTCTCTTTGCCTGCCACCACGTAAGACATGCCTTTCACCTTCTGCCATGACTGTGAGGCCTTCCCAGCCACATGGAACTGTAAGTCCACTAAGCCTCTTTTCATTTATAAATTACTCAGTGTTGGGTATGTCTTTATCAGCAGTGTGAAAACAGACTAACACACCCTTATTTAGTCAACCACCATGCTTCCAGTTTTCTCACATGACCCAATAATATCCATTATATTACTTTTCTCCGTTAGTACAGGATCCAGTCTAGATTCAGGAATTGTTTTTAATTGTTAAGCCTCATTAGCCTTCTTTAATCTGAAACATTTCTTTAGCCATCCTTTTTCTTTGATGACACTGGCACTTATAAATAATAAAGTCCTATATTCTAACAGAATATTCCTCATTTCATGTTTGCCTGACACACCTTCATGATTAGATTCAGGTTATGCATCCCCAGGTGGGGATACTGCATTGATGATGTTATCGCCTCTCAGGTGGTATTCAATGTTCATCTGCCCCTTACTAATGAAGTTAATTTGGGTCTCTAGCCAAGGTGTTTTCTGATTTCTTCACTGTGCAATTACTAATCTTCCCCCTGAATCTAGGATGAAGTCTAGGAAGAGACTCTTCAAGACCATGAAGATAATTCTGATCATATAAATGTAGTATTCACTGATGATTCTTTCCTCAGCAGATCTTTACTATGATGGCTGCAAAAGCCTGATTTTTCAACTCCAGCATTTCCTCAACATTTGTCAGTCAATCCTGAGCATGCTACTGTGATCAGTAGCCTCCCCTCTCCTGAGTTCCTTCCTTGTTTTATGTATCCATTTATGTATCTTTGTTTTATGTACCCATTATGTATCCATTCATCTATCAAATGATTATCAGGGTGCAGGAAGACATTTCATCGTGGTTTTTGTGGTTTATAATTCATCCCTGGACTTCATTATTTTGCTGCTCCAATTGCCCAGATTTGACCAGTAGCAGCCCCCTCAAGCTGGATCCTATGTCCCTGTAACATAGTCATCTCTCAGTATCCCTGGGGGATTTGTTCCAGGAGCCCTGAGGACACCAAACTCATGGATGCTCAAGTCCTTGGTACTACAAAATGGTGTAGTATTTGCATATAACCTGTGCACATCCTCCTGTCTATGCTAAATCAGGGGTCCCCAACCCCCATACCATGGACCAGAACTGGTCCGTGGCCTGTTAGGAACATGACTGCACAGCAGGAGGTGAGCTGCAGACCAGTAGGTGAAGCTGAGCTCTACCTCCTATTAGATCTGGCAACAGCATTAGATTCTCACAGGAGCGTGAACCCAATTGTGAACTGCGAGGGATCTAGGTGGCATGCTCCTTATGTGAAGCTAATGCTTGATGATCCATCAACTGTCTCCCATCACCCCCAGATGGGACCATCCAGGTTCAGGAAAACAAGCTCAGGGCCACCACTGATTCTACATTACAGTGAATATGTAGTAATAATAGAAATAAAGTGCACAATAAATGTAATGCACATGAATCTTTCTGAAAATACACCACCCCCACCCCCCACCAACCCTGGTCTGTGGAAAAATTGTCTTCCACAAAACTGGTCCCTGGTGCCAAAAAGGTTGGGGACCACTGCTCTAAATCACTTCTAGATTACTTATAATACCTAATACAATGTAAATGCTATGTAAGTAGTTGTTATATTGTATTGTTTAGGGTATAATAACAAGAAAAAAGCCTGTACATGTTCAACACAGATGCAACCATCCTTTTTTAAAATATATTTTCAATCCTCATTGGCTGAATTTGTGGATAGGGAACCCGCAGATATGGACAGAAGACTGTACTTCTTTTTGGCTTTTATCTGTTTGTTTTTAGTTCTTCCTTACCTTCTGGCACAATAAGATTTTCATTCCGGGTTCATCTTATACTTACTCTGTCTTCTCCTAGAGATCAGCCATTTCTCCAAAGAGCCCTGGTTTCTTGTGGAATAATATTAGACACCAATATCTGAGTGTTGGGTGTGCTCTCTAAACGTATTTGTAATAACTGATGAAAACTAGCTACTTTATGTCAAACAGTTGAATTCATTCTTTGACTAAATGAGATCTGGCTTAAGTGTGTAAGCAACACCTAGTTCTAGTTTATCTCATATATACTGAGATTTTATACAAATAGTAAAAATATTATAGAGCTTTTCTGAACCCCTAAAAAACTTTTAAAAATATGCTATACTTACACCATGATGGTACTCTTTAGTGGTACATAGAGGCCATCAGATATTTGAAGACATTTCTTTACATAGTTAAGATCAATTTAGCAAACCATTTTTTGAAAGAATAGGAGATTGGTATAACTCTTTTGGTGATGGAAAAATTATTTCACAGATGATGCCTCAATTTCCTATAAGGGTCCAACATTTCAAAAAAACCTGAAACTCCACATCCAAGACTGGGCAACAGGGTGAGACCCCGTCTCAAAAAAAAAAAAAAAAATCCAAATATCAGCTGGGTGTGGCAGTGCAAGCCTGTAGTTCTGGCTACTCTGTAGGCTGAGGTGTGAGGATTGCTTGAGCCTGGGAGGTTGAGGCTGTGTTGAGCCATGATGGCGCCACTGCACTCCAGCCGGGCAAGAGATTGAGACCCTGTCTCAAACAAAACAAAACAAACCCCACATCCACATGTCTACATATATCTACCTGAGTCTAACTTTTTAATGTTTTATCAACGCATGACATCAAATGTAAGAATTCGTGATATCCTCTCCAATGTGAGCTATTTAGCAGTAAGGCTTCATTACAGGTTGTTTCTCTTTCTTAGGGACACGCTCTCTGGGCACAATCATGGCTCACTGCAGCCTCAACCACCTGGGCTCAAGCCATCTCCCATCTCAGCCTCCTGAATAGTTGAGACTACAGGCACTCACCACCACATGCCTGGGTACTTTTTTTTTTTTTTAAGTAGAGATGAGGTCTCACTATGCTGCCCAGGCTGATCTCAAACTCCTAAGCTCAAGAGATCCTGTTGCCTTGGCTTCCCAAATTGCTGGGATTATAGGCATGGCCACCACACCCGGCCTAAATCAATTCTTTATTAAGCACTTAAGCTACTGAGTGGTATCATCAAAATAATAATCACAATGATAACAGCTAATATCTAAATAGTGCTTACTATATTCCAAGAACTCTTCTAATGTGTATCCTCAGCCAAATTTCAAGATTATCTGCAGAAACTACGTATTTCAATATTTAAAATATATATACATATATCAAGTGTAGGTGTACATTCAGGAGAGTTTTACCTCCATAATTCTGTTTCACTGATGAAATAACCTAGGCCCAAAATAGGAAGTGAAATAATCAAAACAAGTTTCTAAGAGCCCCATAAAGTGCACTAGTTTCTGCTTATGGAAGTGACCCAACTCAGAGGGAAATTAAGTGGGTTTTCTGCTGTGATCTCATTAGTACTTGGGGAAAACCTCCAGCTTGCAAACTACTGAATAAAATGCATATTTCTGCCTAGAACTTTCATCTAACTGATAGCTTATCTATTGAAACACATTACTTTCTAATACTATCCCATAACAAACATCCCACGTTAGAAAATATAAACCAATTATAAGCCAAAGATGGAAATCAGAGACATGAAATGGCTGGGGTTCTGCTTTTTTTTTTTCTTTTTTCTTTTTTTCTTTTTTCTTTTTTTTTTTTTTTTGAGTTGGAGTCTTGCTGTTGCCCAGGCTGGAGTGCAGTGGTGCAACCTCGGCTCGCTGCAACCTCTGCCTCCAGGGTTCAAGTTATTCTCCTACCTCAGCCTCCTGAGTAGCTAGGATTATAGGCATCCGACTATGCCCAGCTAATTTTTTTTTTGTATTTTTAGTAGAGACAGGGTTTCGCCATGTTGGCCAGGCTGGTCTTGAACTCCTGACCTCAAGTGATCCGCCCACCTCGGCCTCCCAAAGTGCTGGGATTACAGGCACTATTTCTTATTTTAGAGTACATGAGCCTGCTAGGTAAAGAAAGACCACCATTTCCTTTAGCTTTGTCCCCTTTGTCATCACTCTCCTGTAAGATAAATTTTCCTTCATGAGATTGTAGTACAAACACCCAATTAGAAAAACAGTCCTTTAGAATATCCATTTGTTCACTCATCCATTGATTCATTTTTTTTGAGTCAGGGTGTATTAGTCCATTCTTGCACTCCTATAAATAAATACCTGAGACTGGGTGATTTATAAAGAAAAGAAGTGTAATTGGCTCACCGTTCTGCAGGCTGTAGAGAAAGCATGGCAGCTTCTGCTTCTGGGGAGGCCTTGGCAAATTTACAATCATGATGGAAGGCAAAGAGGAAGCAGGCACATTTTACATGGCCAGAGCAGGAAGAAAAGGGGGGCAGGGGAGAGGCTACACACTTTTAAACAACCAGATCTCACGATATCTCACTATCACGAGAGCAGCACCGAGGGGATAGTGCTAAACCATTCATGAGAACTCCACCCCCATAATCCAATCACCTCCCACCAGGTCCCACGTCCAACACTGAGGATTACAATTTGACATGAGATTTGGTGGGGACATAGCTCCAAACCATATCATGGGATCTTGCTCTGTCACTCAGGCTGGAGTGCAGTGGTGTGATTATAGTTTGCTGCAGCCCTGACCTCCTGGGCTCAAGCAATTGACCTGCCTCAGCCTCCCAAGCAGCTATGACTACAAGTACATGCCACCATGCCCAGCTAATTTTGTAAACTTTTTTTTTTGTAGAGACAGGGTCTCACAATGTTGCCCAAGCTGGTCTCAAACTCCTGGCCTCAAGCATTCCTCCTGCCTTGGCCTCCCAAAGTGCTGGGATTACATGCATGAGCTGCCTCACCCAGCCTCAACTCTTTTATTCAACACCTACTATGTGTCATGCATTATTTCAAACATGGGAATACAGTAAGTTCCTGTCTTTATAGATCTAATATCCCAGTGCAATTGTAAAGACAGTCAGCCAAAAAAAAAAGAAAAGAAATTTAATGCCAGGTTTTTCAAAAGTGCATTAAGAAAAATTAAGCAGTATACGTATAATTATTTCTCTTATGAGTTTAATGTAAACTTCAGTTGCAACAGGAAAGACAGCAGTGAAGCCATGCCACTAATCTGCCTGCAAAGTAAAGGTGGTACATGGTTTTATGTCTCAGCCTCCCTTTCTGTAGTCTAATTTTAAATTATCATTTGCTGTGAGAAAGGAAACTTTTTGTATGTTTTATGGTTTCATTTGAATTGCAGGAGACCTGTGATATCACTTTTGAGAAAATTCTTTTTTTTTTTTTTAATTTGAGACAGGCTCTTGGTCTGTGGCCCAGGCTGGAGTTCAGCTCACTGCAACCTCTGTGTCCTGGGCTCAGGTGATCCTCCCACCTCAGCCTTCCGAGTAGCTGGGACTACAGGCATGCACCATCATGCCCAGCTAATTTTTCTTTTAGTAGAGATGGCGTTCTTCATGTTGCCCAGGCTGGTCTCAAACTCCTGGGCTCAAGCAAGGTGCCCACATCCACTTCCTAAAGTGTTGGGATTGCAGGTGTGAGCAATTGTGCCCAGCTGAGGAAATTCTTATTAATCAAATCTTTACTAAGGAGGAAGGTTAACCTATTCTGTTGTTATTTACTACCAATGCCTGGCATACCCAGAGAGCTTGCCAGGAGAAGTTAACTGCAGGAGAAGTTAACTGCATGAGTATAAATACACATCTTTTCTTTTAAATAAGTCTCAGTAGTCAGTGAGTAGATTTTCACTATCATAAAGTATTGTCTTTAGAGAGATAAAAATGCTACTGTCAGAAGACTTGTTCTCTCCTGTTGGGTGTTGCAAACAGATTTTCTTAATTATAGAACTGTCCTTTTTTTTTTGCTTTTATGAGGCTGCACTAAACTGTTTTAGATTTACTCTTACAATTAGTTTATTTTACAATAAGTTCACTGGACTCTTGTGACTCATCTTAATACTATACTTAATCCCAGATTTGAGATTTATTAGAGTCTCAGAGCCCTGAAATCAGCCAAGTCCCTCCCTCTGCCCAGACTCTCACACAGGGAGAATACTAAGGATAGGCCTAAAGTTGGATGGTTTGGATTTTCACAAAGAAAGATCTTTTGTTCTCCTCCAGGAACTAAACGAAACATGTCATTAGGCCAACTCTTGCAGTCAATGTCAAGGAGTCAAGCAGAGGCCGCTTAGCTGAAAAATAGGCAAGTTTTTGAAGGAAAGACATTTTTTTAGAAAACTGCCCTTGTTACATGTACTCTTAGATAATGATCATCTTAATTTTCCCTGTGTTTCCTATAATAATTTCATTTTTTCTCCTTGACTAATTCATTTATAGAAATGTAGTGATGACACACTACTTCAACTGTATTAATTATCTGACACACTTATTTATAAATCCATCTGCCTTTTTCCCCCATAATCGTTTATGCCCACCTTTAGGTTACACCCAAGGTTCTGAGGATTAGCAGTTATGCGTAACAGTGGATATGAAACTGATCCAGTAGTCCCATAGTTTTTTTATAAACATAAAAATTGACTCATATGATCTTAAAATTTGAAACTTAACATTTGTTTTATCTAAATTTCTTCCTCAGAAAACCAACCTTCAGGCCTCTTTTAAAAAAAGTGTCAAATAACTGAAACTCACGAGATCACCACATCAGATGCCGACCCTTCAATCGTCATGATTGCTTCCTTGCCCTTCAATAGTTCCTGTTTTCTTACACATTGTCACATTTCTTCCCTGCTATATGAGCCCCTAGTTTTAGTCCATCAGGGAGATGGATTTGAGACTGAGCTCCCAACTCCTCAGCTGCAGCGCCCAATTAAAGCCTTCTTCCTTGTCAGTAGTGTATTGTGTCAGTGATGGGCTTTCCATGCAATGAGCAGCAGCACCTAGACCAAATCCCTGGTGTTTCAGTAACAGATATGTAAATGGTCCCAGCCACACCTTCTGAGACTCACCATTATGGGCAGCAGTCCAGTGCTAACACAGTGCACTAGGTCTGATGGATCAGGGCCTGCTTTTGCTTCTGTTTTTCTGATTTCCAGTTTTGCTTACAACTCAGTGCCCCATAGAACTGAAGTTCTTCCAAGCCCTTACCAATTCCTGTCCTAGAATCTGGAGTCCTTTCCTAAATTTCTTTCCCTAAACTGGTGTTTGGATCTTTGCTGCCCATCGAATAGTAACACATTTAGGAAAACATTCAGAGAACTCAGGCAAATCTGGAAAATTTTATGATCACAGCATCGTACTGCTAAAATTAGCCTCATCGCCCACCCATGTTTGGTTTCTAATAATTTTATATTACTGGACTTTATAAAATTATAAAATCAAAACATCTAATGCAATTTTTACATTATTCACCAAATTCCTAATGAAATATTGTTTTTATACTCAAAGTGTTTTTCAAAAGATGTAATTAGAAAAGAAAGTGGTAATGATATCTGATATGGTTTGGCTCTGTTTCCCTACTCAAATTTCATCTCAAATTTTAATCCCTATGTGTCAGTAGAGGGGTCTGGTGAGAAGTGATTGAATCATGGAGACAGACTTCCCCCTTCCTGTTTTAATGATAGTGAGTGAGTTCTCATGAGATCTGGTTGTTTGAAAGTGTGTGGCACTTCCCCCTTCACTCTCCCTCTCTCCTGAAACCGTGTGAAGAAAGTCCTTGCTTCCTCTTCACCTTCTGGCATGATTGTAAGTTTCCTGAGGCCTCCCAGTCATGCTTCCTGTTAAGCCTGCAGAACTGTGAGTTAACTAAACCTCTTTTCTTCATCATTTACCCAGTCTCAGGTAGTTCTTTATAGCAGTGTGAAAATGGACTAATAGAACACGTGAAAAATATAAACAATGTTTCAACTTTTTATATACTTATTGGGATAATAGTTCCACTAGCTCAAGTTAAATCAATGGGGTATTTATATTCAAAATAGAAGAAAAGAACCAACCACTTTGAAATCTCATTGTCTTAAAGACAGTAAGATAGAAATGTTGCTCTGTAAAGAGCATTAACAAATATTAAAATGTCGTTAAGAAATATTGTTATTTCCAGGAAATAATACAAGTAACAAAAATGAAAGTATGTACAGTTGTTTGACATGATGGAGAGTCTAGATTTTTTATAATTGAGAACATAAAGACATTTCACCAAGTAAAGAAACTACCATATTATCTATCCATGTTGTAATACATTATTTCAAGGTTCTTATTTTCAACGTGAGTTAGAAGAGTCCCAGAAGTCTACAACAAAAAGAATAAATGAAGAAAGAATATTGTTGGATAGTACTATCAAGGCAGGCAAATTTATAGTATTTTCTGTTAATAACACAATATTAAAATAATTATGCCTTTTATCAAATTTTAGAGTTTAAGCATTAGCCATGTATTTTCTTTAATTATCTTTATACTAAAAATACTCATAAGTTATTTCTTTATGTGTTCTTCAAATACAATGAAGAACATTTAACAATTCCTGATACTGAGACATGACAGAAATTTTTCCTGTGGATACTTAAGAGGAAATAACAACATAAAAAGCATGCATTTTAAAACATCCTTACAGCAAATACAGCTATTTCTTTTAACATCCCTCAATGTAATGAAATGGTTACATAGTAAAAAAAAAAAAATGTTCCATAAAAGAGATCCTTTGGAGATTAACGGGTTTAGAAAACAATATAGTCCACATATAAATTTTTGTTGGCGTTGTTGAATCCATGAATATATTTCAGAGCAGGTTTTTTTTTTTTTTTTTTTTTTTGGAAATCAGACACTGAAGAGAATTGAAGGTGAGGGGGTTGGAGAGTGAATAGAATATCACCATAGAGAAATGCACATAAGCACAGTATTTTGCATAGGTATTTCCAAAAGTTCCACAATGCACAAACATAAACTTCAGCTTTTCAAACTGCAGGTCCAAACCTATCAGAAATTGATGAAATCACTCTGATGGGCTGGAATGGGCAGTTTACAAAGCAAAATGCTTCTGGTAAGGTTTTGGCAGTAGCAATACGGTTTTGGAATCTCCTTTAATTTCTCCAAGAAAATAGACAGGCAAGCAAGAATAGCAAATCCAGAAACATCTAAAAGAAAACTTTAGAAATCTATAATGCAAGTGTGAGCATATGGGAACAGACCATAAAGAGCTATGAGACACAGAGGGAATCACCATCTGACTGGCAGGAAGTGGAGAGAAGGGAACTGGCTTGATAGTCTTAAGAATAATGAACAATCTAATTGCCATAGAGTACTCACTGGAAATTGCAGCAGGCCACTTTGAGAACAGAATCCAAAACCACAAAGGGTTTCTACGGGACTCAATTCATGAATAAATACAGAGTATTAAAGTATGATGTGGTCTAATGGTGCCCAAGGACTCTGAATCCTGTAGAGTACTAAACTAATATACCATACTGATTTTAGAGACAAATTCCCCTGCTGAGGATTAGAATTCAATGGGAATAGAATCCAAATCGAACAGAGAGAGAAACAGGAATGACATAGGAAAAAGAAGGTTTTGATAAAAATTGAGGGGAAGAACAAAGGATGCCTATCTCAAAAAGCATGAGATACAATCTTTATCATTGTCTCAACCAAAGAGGGAGCTCTAGAGCCAAGAAGCCAAAAAAACTGTCTTGACCTACTCTCCCTCCTTGAAAGAACAAAATTACCTTCCTACAGTCCAGGAAAACCTGCCAGAAAAATACGTCCCCAGAAAGAAGATATATATTTATATATATATATGATATATATAATTATATATATGTGATATATATATCATATATATCATATATATTTATATTATATATTATATATATTATATATAATATATATAATATATATCATATATATATCATATATATCATATATATATATCTTTTTTCTGGGGACGTGTTTTTCTGGCAGGTTTTCCTGGACTGTAGGAAGGTAATTTTGTTCTTTCAAGGAGGGAGAGTAGGTCAAGACAGTTTTTATATAATTTATATAATATATATATTTATATATTATATGTTTATATATATTTATATAATATATATAATTTATATAATAATATGTATATAATTTATACATATACCTAATATTTTGATAGATGATAAAAGAAAAAATAAAATAATAAAAGTTATGAAAGGATAACATATGTCAGAATTATAAAAACTTACTAATGAGGTGATTGGGGAAAAAATGAAGATTTAGAAAGAGAAAAGAAAAAGATAATTTGAAAAGAGAACACAGGAAAGAAATAAAATTAAAACAAATATACTTTGATAAATAAAGATTAAACTAGATGGAACACAAAAGAAAACAAACAGAACAGATAATACCTTGAGAAAAATCGAATAAGAGAAAGAGGAATGTTAAAAAGATAAAAAAGATGAAAGGAATTTGAAAGAAGGTGATGGAACAGATGCAATGAATATCCAAAATACATATAATGCATTAATTAGAACAAATAATACAAACCATAATCTTAGAAAATGTTTTTGAAAAATTTAACAAAATTGTATTTTGTTAATTTAACAAAACTTTCCTGAAATAAAAGACCCTTTGAAATTAATATTGAAAGGTTGCCTATCACACCTAGGAAAACTGATCCAGAATGGACTAAGGTAGACATATCCTAGTGAAGCTACTGGGCTTGAAAGAACAAAAACAGAAAAATTTTCAGCCTTCGAGGCAAAAAAAGAATTAAAAAGACCAAGTAGTTTATAAGGAAAGAAAATCAGATTGCTACCAGACTTTTGCACAGCAATATTTTATGCCAAAACACAATAGAGTAATGTATTTTGAATCCTCAAGGAAAAAAAAAATGGAAGTCACAGCTTTTATTTGTAGCCAAACTGATTTTCAAGTATAAAAGTGTCAGACAAATTAATACAAATATGCAAGAATTCAGAGAAAATTCTTGTACCTTTCATAAGTAATGATCCAGAGAACAAACTTCAGATATCTTTAAAGAATGGAGAGACATCAAAATTTAAAAAAACAAAATAAATAAACTAATGGTGACATTAAATATATATTTACTCAGCTATGACTAATTGATATTTACAAGAGAGATAGCATAATATGCTATCTCTTAGAAATTCATGATGCTATTTCTATTCTATTGCTTAGAAATTCATGATGCAAAACTAAGGTATAGATGCAAAACTAAGGTGAGAGTGGGAGTACATAAGAAAAATAGAATGTATGCTCTGTGCCTTATAGTTTAGATGAATAAAACAGAATAGAATAAAGAAAAAAATAAAACATCAGGATAATCATACATAGTAACACTAAATATTATTTTGCAAAAGTTTTGTTTTTATTATATATAAATCTGTACTGGGTCAATATGTAAAAATTATTGCTTGTGGGTTGTTGTTAAAATAATTTGCGAACCACCGTACTTGAGGACCTTGGACCTGAGACTTAAGAAGTCTTTTGTAGAATATCTGCAATGCATGTATTTTGGTAAATTTTCACAAAGTAGTTTTTCCTTCAGCTAAAATATTGATAATTTTGTAAGGGCAGCAATACCGAGGATATTGATTCTAAAAATTATCTAGAGTTCTACCATATTTCATCAACTCTAAGAGACATATTTTTTCACATTTTAACATCTGTGAAATCAGAATATTTTACATTTACTGTGCCTTACAATTTACAGTGTCTTACAATTAGTTTCAGCACTTTCTTTTCTTCCTACATTACATAAATAATTACATTGTGATTCTCAGCCAATGGCATCTTTGATATACAGACATTTTTGATATGGAGACATCTACTATTTTCCTGTTATCTGCACGATGGTTCATCACATGTTTTACCTGTGAAGGAGTTGCTGTCTTGTGGTCAAAGTAAAAATCTTGACTAGTACAATAGAAATCAATGTCACCTTGATCCCAAGGTAGTAAAAATTATAAATAGTTACTATTTGGAATAAAAAAATACTTCCTAGTTATGTAACACTATAGATACAAGAAAATATTTTATCACTTACACTGTACTTTTTAGATCTATCTCCCAAAATTTAAAAGCTCAACAGCTGAGATAGAAATATTTATAAATATGATTTATTGACTGTTTTATAAATGTTGGTCTTATAGAAATCAGATTACAAGCAAAGTAGAAATTTGAATAAAATTGAAAACAAACCTATGGTATTAATACCATTTATATCACTGGTGCTCAGTGACATTATATAAATTATTTCTGTGATGATAGTAAGCACAAAGAAACTTGATGACATTTTAAAACGTTGAATATGTTAATATAAATAAGAAGTATAACTGAGGGTACAATTACAACCATCATAGTTTTTTATATGATAATGTCATACTTTGTCAGTCAATGTATGAGTCTGGGCCCAATCGGGAGACAAAAATCACACAGTAATTTAAGCAGGAGATGTTTAAAATGAAGAATTTTCCGTTGTGAGAGGAAAGCAGCTACAAAGATGTAAAGAGAACACTGAAGTGTACCCTAAAACAGAGGGAGCAGACGAAAGAAGGACGAACTTGGAAGGAGGGCCCTCTTCTCAAGGTCAAGGTTCAGATGTAATTGGAGAAAATATTATTGTAGCCCACTGGAGGGCAGAGAAGTTTACTGTATCACCAGAGGCTAGAAAAACTTGAAATAATCCTCGAGGGTGCAAGGGAGTCACAGCTAGCAGGAAGATGTGCAAAGTGTGTAGGAGAGCTGCTGCAGGTTAGAAGCCTGGAGCATGCAGTGTCAACATCGAGAGTCCTGCAGGAAGCGGGTCACCTGGCCCAGGCCAAGGATACAAGGTAGTTCCAGGAACTACACACACTGGTCGCATGGTCCAGCAGAGGAGCACTGCATGTCTTTCCACCACTGACTAACCAGGCAGCAGAAGCAAGAATGAAAATACACACAGGAACCAGGAAAAGTTAACTTCTTCCTGCAATTTCCCTCCCACACCCACTGGCTAAATTTACAACATGCTCTCAAAAAGAAAAAAAAAACCATCAAGGGTTCAATATAGACCCTGAGAACAGATATTCAAGGGTGAATTTGGAGCTGAGAGGCGATAAATGAATGACTGGCACAGCAAGCAATCAAACGTATCTTTGAAGTATCCGCTTTAAGAAAGGCCTTGTAAACCCTGGGTTAGGTACTAAGAAAAACATTATAATTGGGAAGCTGTACGGTATAGCAGGAAGAGAGGAATAGATGGGAGAGAAATGGGTGTAAAGAATTATACTCGGGCTGGGAACAATGGCTCCTGCCTGTAATTCAGCACTTTGGGAGCCCAAGGCAGAAGGATCACTTGAGCCAGGGAGGTCAAGGCTGCAGTAAGCTGTGATTGTGTGCCCCTGCACTCCAGCCTGGGTGACAAAGCAACTCCATCTCAAATAAACAAACAAAAGAATTAACAGACTTACCAAGTGTCCCAAAGGTAGTGAATATCAGAGGATTGCATTTTAAATTCTTAGAAATTCATGACTAGCACTATGGTACTTAACCTGGCATTGAAATTAGACTACAGCTGTCTCAGAGTCCCATGACTTGAAAACGTGTTGCAAATTGCAAGTGACTATCAGCAAACAATTAAGAGTATACTCTATGAGTCTAGCATCTTTGTAAATCGTAGAGACAGTAGCTACTTCCTTCTTCTGCAATTGTGCTAGAGAATCCCCATCTTCTTCCTGCTCTACACACACCTCCCCGCCCCCTACACACACACAAACTTCCAGGGCACAAAAGTGTTGTCTATCCTGGAAACTTCCTGGGTCTATCTGTGAGCATCTTTAAACCTTATAAAAACAACCCTTGGCTAACTTTTTAAATTTTAAATATTGTTTTAAGTTTTTTAAAGTTTAAAATAAACCTTTTTAAGCTAAAAGAGTTAATATACATCAATTTTACAAAGAATTGACAGAGAATACAAGAGCAAAATTTGACAATTCCCAAATAATTCTGTTTGCTATGTATTGGTATGCCTGCTATTTTTCCCGAGTCAATGAGTTCTTTCCTTGTTTAAATAATTTTTAATGTCATATAATTAATTTCAGACAATCCAGATAGCCTTTCAAACTTATGTACAGCAGAACAAACTTTAGTTCTGCTCACAACACACTGCTCTAAGTATTAAAATATGTCTAAGGGCTGAACATAAGAGAATTATGGCCAAAAAAAAACCCAATTCTTGAGAAAAGATATTTTCTCAAGAAACTATCACCATCAACTGTGAGTTTGTTGATATTTTTAAAATCTTTCCTTGGGTATTTATGGTACAATTTAATTTTAATTGTCGTGGCACTCATTTTGCCATTGGGAATGTGATGTATTTCCCGTGCTTTTCTTCTCTGTGGTTCCCTGTGTAGCCATTTCACTGTTACTGAATACCACCACCAGAGGGTAGGCAGGATAAGGGCAAATCAGTGAAACCAAAAATTGCTACTTGAAAGCGGCTGTGGCAAAAATTTCAGAAAGTAGCTGAGACGACTCACTATTAATTAGAGTCTCTGCTGGTCCAGTGGACAACAGCAGAAATAATTTACAAATGTATGGTCTTCAGAATCTTCCTTTTAATGAATGAGCATGATCATGACAGTGAAGAGAAAGGAACGAAGAGCCTATTTTTCTGCTGCTTCTCTTTCCTTCTGCATGATATTTCTTTCAAATCTGCCTAAATCATACATCTCACGCTTGATGCAATTTACAATAACAGCAAACTCTAATAAAGCAAGTTTTCTCAATTATTTGAAATCAAATGGCTTTTTTAAATCCTGGGAATCTAAATACGGGAAGCATTTCATATGGGATTTTCTTGGAAGGATTTTTTTTTAATAAGCATTTTGTTTTGTTTTGTTTTGTTTTAAATCCCACTGGTTAACACTTGAAGAACAATTTCCTGTGGTGTCTCTGTAAAGCTGCAAATGCCACGTCAGTGAGAGCCAGACTGTAATATGGACCGTGTGGTATGGGTAATAATTGATGAAACGAAAATGGCCCTTTCAGAGAATATTATATATAAAAAAGCCCACACATTCAATGGGACTAAGATCATTACCACTGAGCAAGAGGAAAAACTCCACCTGTACAAACTAGAAACAAGTGAAGTTTGAAAATAAAAACTTAGTAAGAGTAGTCAAAGGACACAAGTAGGTCCTTGGGGAAAAAAAAAAGAGCTATTCAGTCATCCTCTCCTTTGGTTTCTGCAGATGCTTCTCAACCCATCCTGACATGGAGGGATTGTGCCTCACTCCTATCTGCAGATCCACTTAGATTTTCAGGTAAATACAATGTTAAGATATTTGTTATTGAAGGATGATAGCTCCTTTTTAAGTCATTTTTTAAATTTTTGCAAATTGTTACCATGGCAAATTTCGATTTTGTTGAAATGGCAAATAAAATATTCTCTCATAATCAAATGTGTAGGGTTTTACAGGAAGCTTTTTTCCCTTTTCAGATAAACCCAAATATTTGCAACTGAGACAAAATAACAACAAATAACTCAATATAGTCCCTCAACTACTTACACTGTATAAAATTTTCTAAGGCATCTCTGATTTTAAAGCTGGTGTATTTAGTACCATATCCTATGTCTGAGTTAAACCACATTTGGGGACTAAAATATCTTTTTTCAATCATTTAAGTTCTCTAAACTTCAGAATCACTATTAATTCTGAATAGATTAGTTCTGATCATTCTGGGCAAACAAACTTTTCAATTATAACCTATTTTCATTAGCATTATTTGAGGAGTTTAGGCAATATTGTTTAAGGTGAAAACCATTAGGAATATAATTCCCGAACATACAGATGTAAGAATTTTAAAATATAAGTTAGACATGGTTTCTTGATGTATAATACAGTTCTCACTTTTGTTTGTGTGTGCCCACAACTTAAGAGTCTGTAAACTTTTTAAAAAATTATTTTAAAGCATATCTATTGTGGATCATGGTGAGAGAAGTGGGTGCAGATCTACATGGTTATATTACTTTGGATCATGAAGAAAATGCAGTTTTAAAAGGGTTTTTTTTTTGTGCAACCCTATTCAGAAGAAAACATTTAGGTTGGGTTTATATGCACAACATGCTTCACCCTTTTCTTGACTATTAAAACCACTAATTAGCAGCTGTTCAATTCCTTAAAATAGTCAAGCTGTGCATGCTGTAGCTAAGGACAGAATGCACAAGTAAAAGAAAACAAGTAGTAAAACTATTGTTTCCCTTTTAAAAGATAATTGTTCAATAGGATCTTATGTCTTAATTCATTGTCACAATGTGAGCCTGGGTACTACTAAGAAACAGTAAATTCCCAAATACTTGTCAAGCATAAACATGTTTTCTTTATACTATTACAAATGTTAGTACAAAACAAAACTGAATAGCTGGAGTAACATTTATTGGCTGATTATATATAAATTAATAAATACTAACATTTATTCCATAGTTCCCATCGTTATTTTCAAAATTCTATAGCAAAATAATAAATTCATGTTGAATTTTAGATTTATACAAAATAGGAAGAAATGGTTGAATTGGTTAAATAATCTCCTCATAGCTAGTAATTAATAACTATTTTAAAATTAAGTATTATTTGCCAAATTCAAGGGCTATTACATTTTCAGAAATAATAGCATTTAATTATGTGTGCCAGAAATAACAATTAAGATATATTTATAACAGAATACATTCTATTGATTTCAACTTGGTCATATAAAATATTTCCTTTCTCATTTTCTTGTAAGTTCTACATTTCTTGGAGTCACTTATTTTTGTTAGCTTGGAAATTAGGATCAAAATACTGTATACCTAAAATATGTTGAAACTTGAAATTAAAAGTATTTGATAGGACAATGAAATTCAGCGTCTTTGGAATAAAGTGTCTTTTTCACATGTGGCAAATAAGTCACTGTGTCACAAATGATTTAAAAATATTTCCATAGTATAATTTAAAATAATAAGGAAATAAAAGTTGTTTGTTGTTTAAAATGTAAAACTTGCATATATTTTCATTTCTTAAATCACAAAACATCAAAAATAATTCACAGAATAGAGGGAATGTTACTTCAAGAAACTGTTAAATTAGAAAATGTATAATAGTCATAAAATGAAAGCAAAATAATTCTAGAATTAACAAAAATATTTTCAAGAAAATCTGTAGTCAACTGTTAATTGTATCCTATTATAGTTCTTACAAAATAAAGACAAAATGACTCCGGGTTGTGTTATAATACATACGGTATAGCATATATTCCAGGAATTTACCCTTCACACCAAGCAATTAAGTTCAAAGACCTAATTAAGAGAAACAAGAAAATGATTTCCTTTCGTTTTCAGGTCTACTACTTAGTTTTTCTTTATTTAGCCAATATAAGCCAATATAAATTAACCTAAACAGAATCATACATATTCCCTGGCTTTCCTTTTCTTTTGGGGAATGTAAGCTTTAAAGGAAGTGCACATCAAGCTTCTTCTTTATACCAACTGCAGCCATTAAGCAGCATTTCAAGATATATATAAATCTACACATGCCTGTGTTGTTTTGAAAAGTTGAATTTAAACATCCATACACAGCTGGTGGGAGTGTAAACTGCTAAAACCAATGTGGGAAAATGATTTGACTTTACTTGGTAAAGTTTAGTATATCCATGCTATATGACCATCCCTGTGTATAATACTATAGGCTAGAGAAATTCTTCCACCTGAGCAGAAGAGGCATGTCCAACCTCATAGCGATGTTGCTCACAGTAGCAAAAAATATATAAATAAGTCAAAAGTCCAGTAACACTGGATAAGATAAGTAAACTGTGGCACATTTGTACACTGGAATGCTTTATGGAATGGAAAATCAATGAACTATAGTTATAGGTATCAGTGAAAAAGAATCTTAAAAAAAAAAACTAAATGTTAAATGAAAAACCAAGTAACAGAGGAATAGAATATGATTCCATTGATTTCAATTTCCAAAACAGGCAAATGAAACAACAGATTGCTTAAGAAGACACCCAATGCGTTAAAATTATAAAGAAAAGTGAGGCAAGGATTAGCGCCAAATTCAGGGTACAGGCAACTCCTGGGTACTATGGGAAGGGACATAAGGTGGGAGGGTGTGCACTCAGCTGACTTCCAAGGTGCCTGTACTGTCTTTTCTCTCAAGGTGGATGACAGGCACACAAGATTTCAGTTTTTTTGGTTTTCGTTTTTTATAATGTTACTGGGTTT
Organism: Homo sapiens; assembly: GCF_000001405.40. Classification (NCBI taxonomy): domain Eukaryota; kingdom Metazoa; phylum Chordata; class Mammalia; order Primates; family Hominidae; genus Homo; species Homo sapiens. The sequence goes on from NC_000013.11 coordinate 91,317,080, forward strand.
TCTTTATATGTACCATATTTCACAACATAACAAAGATAATAACGAAATCAAGTTAAGTCACATAACTATTAGCAAATTGCTGGTAATTTCTCATTAATTTCAAAACAATCTGTTGGCTAACTCTTTGTCTTCTCTCAACCAATAAACAATCAAATGTGCAATAAAAGTGTGTGTGTTAAAGTTCAAAGCAAACCAAGAGACGCATCAATCCTAATATACAAAGAACTAAATCTAAGTGTTTCAGAGGCAAATTACAATACAGATAAGAGTTTAGGGGGGCAGTAGTTCTTAACAAAATTGCAGTGGATCTTAGCCAAGAAAAGACAGGAAGAATTTGAAGGATATACATTGAGGATACATGTCAGACTGGTGGGGTAGAGTTTGACAAAGCCACCCCGCTCAGTTGTACTAGGCCCTTCAAAAGGGCGCAATTCTCTTCCTCGCCTTCTCCTTCACCTCCAGCAACCCTCAACTTTTGACTCTTAAGGTGGTCTGAAGGACACCTTTATATATATTTACGTTTACATTTTGTTATTTCAAATTGAAGAACCCAATCATCACATTCATTCACACACCTGCAACAAGCATTGATAGCCTAGGTGCCAGGCACCTTTCCGAATAAAGCAGTGAACAAAACAAACTAAAACCTAAAATTCAAGAAATTCAAAAACATCTAAATGAAGTACAAGTCACTTATCTAATAGTATTAACACCATTGGTTAGTCTATTAATGGAAAAACACATCTATGTATTTTAAGTTAAAACACGTAATGTTTACAAATACACATAGACATCCACATTTCATTCACCAATCTTTTGATATAGAGTCAAATCCTTTTCTTTAAATATGAACCCATTGATTGGAATTCTACATCAGCTTTCTTACCTAAGCCATTCACATAATGCATTGTGTACAACTTCCAGGTTCAGTTTCTTTCAAGTGGAACAAGAACTTAAGACTAGCTCAAAGTTACAATTAAAGACACTATAACCAGCTGAGAACTGACTTTTGGGTTTTCATAATTTTTTTCTCCACTGTCAGTCTCCCACAACTAGTTTAACAGTAATTTTATCACTTGCTTTTCAGAGAATATTCAAAAATATTCTATTTAGCTTCCCTATAAGTATCTATTTTCTTTATTATTATTATTATTATTATTATTATTATTATTATTATACTTTAAGTTTTAGGGTACATGTGCACAATGTGCAGGTTAGTTACATATGTATACATGTGACATGCTGGTATTTTCTTTTGAAACTTATCTTGCATCATTTATATAATTTTTAATTAAATTATATAATTAAACTAACATCTAAAATGGACATAAACAGGTTTGGGAAGTAATACGATTTAAGGTTGTAACCCTAAGGTTGTTGATAAGTATATAACTCAACTACTCGGGTCAAAAATGCGCTGACTAACCTATCAGAGAGGAGTCCACTATTCCTAAACACTCAGTGTCTTTGGCATCAGTCAGCCTATTTTATGAAAGAAATGGAAAGGTTCTGTTAACCCAGTATCAGTTAAGAAGAGGCAGGTTATGAGAAAGAACAAGTACTATCAAAACAATAGCAACAACAATAAAGTGTTGTGGGCCAGGAAACACGCATTCTGGAGAACACTGTGGAAAGAAGATTCCTGCATGGAAGATATTAACCTCTACAATTAAGTTGATATGCTGTTTGGGGGACTTAAATTCTGTCCTAAAACCTAGTTGCTTTTGGTGTGTGAACCGCTTTAATAGGTGCAAAGTCCTCAGCACATTAAAGTTAGCAAGAAGAACGGCACTGTTTCCTTGGGTGCCAAGGAAGAGTGAATGGCTTTGATTAGCTACTGCAAGAAAATTAGTGTCAGAAACCTATTGGCATTGCCTTATTAAAAACTGTACATTGAAGAATGAAAACCCACGTCGTCCTAAACCACACTCTAAAAACCAGAACATAGCCAAAAGCTAAGTTTCAAGTTTCACAATAGTCTTGTAGAGACGGCAGGGCTGATGCTCTTTTGTGCAGACATGTGGACCCCAAACAAAGGTTCATACTTGACACAGGGGTTGCTCCAGGCGGCACCAACCAGGGAACACGCAACAAAAAGAGGCCTGAGTGGGCCCAGAGGAGCAGAAGTGGAAGGGCTCTTGGCTCACCGGTTCTGAGACAAACACTCTCTCCTTGTAATGGGCTGGGCAGCAGCAGGACACTCCCTGGCAAGCTGCAAGCCAGAGCTGGGGGTGACACCCCTGAGCATGCTAGGGCTACGATTTCTCTGAAAAGAAATCTATTTGGTTAAACAATAAAATTGTGAAATGCAAAAATAAAATAATAGAAATGAATATGCTGTTGATCGTGGAACAAAAGGGGTTTAAACTGCGGGGGTCCACTTACATGCAGATTATTTTTCAATAAAAGTTACACCAGTGTGTCTGCCTCTCCTACCTCTCCTTTCCCCACTTCCACCTCCTCCTCAGCCTAGTCAATGTGAAGACTAGGAAGATAAAGACCTTTATGATGACCCATTTCCATTTAATATGGCAAATACATTTTCTCTTCCTTTGGATTTTCTTAATAACATTTTTTTCTCTAACTTACTTTACCGTAAGAATACAGTATATAATACATATAGCATACAAATTATGTGTTCATGGACTCTTCACGTTACCTTTAAGGAATCCGGGGAGTCAGGTTCTTCAGGGATTTTCACGTCTGTGGGGCTCTGCATCCATAACTCCCATTTGTTCAAGGGCCAACAGTATTGTAATAAATTTTAAAATAAAGCCATATAAAAGTAAAACAAGCAAGGCTGGTACACACACACACACACACACACACACACACACACACACACACACACACACACACATGCCCCTTTTCCTGGTCAGGATCAGGTAGAAGGGAGAGGGCCCGGGAGCTTCCCATGGCCAAGGGCACAGGTGCAACTCTGGCCAAGGAGGTGCCCAGCTGTGCCTAGCGAGATCCAGTGCTGTTCTCTAAGAGAACCTGGCCAGGAAGCGAAGCTTGCCTCTGTGCCTGGGACCATGGATTCTCCTAACCATCCAGGCCTGCAAGCCCCACCTCTCAGAATCTTCAAGTCTTGTTCCGCCGGCTCATCCCTTGGGGCTGAAGACTGGTGGACTCCAGTTGTGTCCGAATGCTGTGCTGGACCCGGATGTACACCACGCGCAAGCTGCACAGGTTTCCAGCTCTCCTCTCACCCTGCCCACCCCACTGAACCTTTTTTCACTGACCTGCTTTGAGTTGTTGAAATACTCTTTGATTTATCCTGAAGTACTTGAACCCAGATTTTTTAAAAGAAGCTTTATAGCTTCCTTTTACTATTTCTTCCCTTCAGGTCCTTTTCTACCCACCTGGTGTAGGTATGTGCACGTATTCACACATCTCACCTTGGCAGGCTATTTCCCTGCAGATCCTCCAATGATGGTCTCTACAGTTTACCTTAATTTTGCTATTTTTTTTTCAGGAGGTTGCAATGCAATGGTATTTTCCATAGATGTAAAGAGATGAATGTTACTTATGGACTGTGTATGAACCTGCACCTAGGATCATGTCCTGGGAGACTTGGAATTTCTGCTGTCTTTCTCAGACTGCTGTGAGCCGGCTATAACTGGCCAATTGAACTCCAGCTTAAAACGAAAACTTCCCAATAACACACCTGCCACCAGATGTGTAGAACAAACTACCTTTGTTTGACTGATACAATGCTTTCCTCCCCTAAACTTTTAAAAATGTTGAATGGCATAGAGTTCTGCTTTCCTTAGAAACAAATTTTAAGGCTGGGTGTGGTGGCTCATACCTGTAATCCCTGCACTTTGGGAGGCCAAGGCAGGCAGATCACCTGAGTTCAGGAGTTTGAGACCAGCTGAGACAAGAGAATTGCTTGAACGCAGGAGGTAGAGGTTGTAGTGAGCCAAGACCATGCCACTGCACTCCAGCCTCAGTGACAGATTGAGACTCCGAAAAAAGGAAAGAAAGAAATAAGGAAGGAAGGAAGGAGAGAGACAGAGAGAGAGAGAGAGAGAGAGAAAGAAAGAGGAAGGAAGGAAAGAGAAAGAAAGAAAAGAAAGAAAGAAAGAAAGGAAGGAAGGAAGGAAGGAAGGAAGGAAGGAAGGAAGGAAGGGAGGGAAGGAAGAGAAAAGAAAGGAGGGAGGGAGGGAAGGAAAGAAGGAAGGAAGGAAGGGAGGGGGAGAAAGAAAGAGAAAGAAAGAAGAAAGAAAGAAGAAAAAGAAAGAAGGAAAGAAAGAAAGAAAGAAAAAGAAAGAAAGAAACTTTAAAATTATTGAGTTTTAAGAATTTCACATTCACTGGAATAACTAGAGACAGGCTTGTGTTGTTAAAATCAAGGTTTGGGGAGAAAAGAATCAAGGTTTGGAATCACTAGAGTGAACAGTCCTAGGCATTTTGATTTCACACTCCAATCTTTTATTCATTTACATTTTTAATTTTTATCAAACAAAATTAAAATTTAAAATGTTCAGATTTTTAAATTTTTATTTTAATTTTGTTCATTTGGTAAAAACAAATGCCATTCGCCAGTCATCACCATTATTGTCCTTTCTTAAAAGGTGTTTTCACCCCTCGGAAATAAGCTGGCTATAACCTCACAATAAAATCTAACACACTAAATCATTAGACACCAAAATTTACAAAAGAACTCACTGGTGTTATGCTTATTTATTATTATTTTTTTTACTATTTTTGCCATAACCAATGTAAACATTGGTATGGAATGGCACCAGTGTGATGGCGGGTGTTTATGAGCCACACTCTCCTAAATCACTTTGATGGCTGAATATGTAAAGCAAGAGCACTTTGGGGTGCACACTTCCATCCTTGCTCTCATCTGCCAGCCAACCTTACTGAGGGAAAGCTCCCTTTCCCTCTTTCCTAGATATTGGCATATATGCTACCCATGAAGATGAAGAAGCTTAACAATTAGGCTACCTTCAGAGGTCTCTTCTTAAGTCTGCCTTCTAGAGGATGTATGCTTAAGAGGAAAAGCATATTTATGGGAAATTGCTGTTAGGGTATTGTGGCTGCACCTCTTTCCATAATGGCAAGTTCTGGTTTGGGATAAGAAGAGTGTACGGCAGGGTGGCACGCCACTTGAGCAGTGCAAGTGGAAAGAAAAAGGTCTTATCTCTGGGATATTTCAACAACATGCCATGTGTTCAGGGGAGAAAGGTGACTAGATATCTAGTAATATTATAACCCACCCCTATAGTAGAGATGTAGATCATAAATGATTCTTTTTCAGATTTCTTTATGCATGTTGACTTCATAAGCTGAATATTAAAATTAGTATGGTATAATGGAATTGGACAGACCTGACTCAGTCACTTGAACCTGTTGAGACTTTGTATAAAATTCTGTCACTTCTCTGAGCCTCTGCTTCATCTTTTGTGAATCAGTGATAGTAACCTCTATTTTACTAAGTCACTGTGAGAATTAAAACTGCTGTTATATGAAAGGATATTTCTTGACATGAATATATTAGAGGAAATAGCTATATATATTTGCATAATTAACTAGACATGAGAATGAGTGTATTAGACCATTTTCATGCTGCTGATAAAGACATACCAGAGACTGGGTAATTTATAAATAAAAGGAGGTTTAATAGACTCACAGTTCCACATGGCTGGGACAGCCTCGCAATTATGGCAGAAGGCAGAAGACACGTCTCACATGGCGGCAGACAAGAGACAATGAGAGCCAAGCAAAGGGAAAACCATCACATCTCATGAGACTTATTCTGTAACAAGAGAACAGTATGAGGGAAACTGCCCCGATGATTCAATTTTCTCCCACCGGGTCCCTCCCACAACATGTGGGAATTGTGAGAGCTACAATTCAAGACAAGATTTGGGTGGGCACACAGCCAAACCATATCAATGTGTTATAAACATTAGAAAGTATGAAGCAAGATACTTATTACCTGCACATGATATGATTGTATATCTGAATTGGAAGTATATAGAAGTCTTAGGAAACAGGCTTTCTTATCCTGGCCTTGATGAAAGAATTGGGTTTCACATTTTTCCTTGGCCAGAGACCATGAACAGTTACAGTCCAGAAGAAGAGGAACTCTCAGAGATGCAGGTAAATATGTGCATCCACAGATTTTAAAAGAGTTGAGTAAATTACAGTAGTTCCCGACTTCCCTTTGCAGTTTAGGGGAAAAAAAAATAAGGGAGGATGGCTCCTGCCTGTCTCTTTTACACCAGAATAATTGTTCCAGGGGCCATGACCCAATAGCTTTCATCTGGCTTCCCCTGGCCGCTGTGCACTATCACTTGGGAAAGGACTCATTTTCAGGTTTGTCAGAGACAACACTGCTCATTAAGCACTATCAGGGTTTTCTGGAATCTTAATGATATAAAGGTAAAGGTGGTGGCAAGAAGAACATGTGAGCCATAACGGCAGCCACAACAACCACATCCTTTGCTAAAGAAGCAGCAACATGTAGCGGACAGGAGTGCAGACTCTTCAGCCACACTGCCTTAGTGTGAATCTCAGCTCCACCACTTCTCAACTGTATAACCTCAGGAAAGTTAATTAATCTCTCTCAGTTTCCTTGTCTATAAAATATGGACTGTAACAATACTAAGACCTGCTTCATATCATTTTTTTGAGAATTAAATGAGGTAATAGTTGCAAAGCACCTACAAAAATGTAAGCACTATGTGAATATTTGATAAATAATTTTTCTTAAAGAGTTACTCTTCTAAGAAAGCTATGCAATGATTGAGTGAATGAAATGCTTAAGCGTCTCTTATCTAATTGCCAAGGTCATTTTTGTTTTGTTTTGGTATTTGCATTAGCTTTTTTATTCCTAGGAGAACTATAAAAAAATTGTAAGTATGCTTTGAACTATGAGAAAGCTAAGCCTAACCTCGGTCCAGTCTGGTTTTTCTACTGATTTCTCAAGTTTCTTATCTCAGAATAGAAATCATTGATATGTGTTATATTTGTTATAATTATTTTACATATGAGTGATGTAATTGATAATCTTTATCAATAGTGCCCACAGCCAACTGAGGATGGATGCGGTTCCACAGAGATGCCTCTTCATTTAACTTCATTCTGTTCAACTTCATACTGAACAGAGAATTACCTTTTGATCCTCTCCCTCCTCCTCACTTGTACCTAGGTCACATAGTTGTCTATCATATTGATAGTAGCTATACTCATTCTTTTTTTTTTTTTTTTTTTTTGAGACAGAGTCTCACTCTGTCACCCAGGCTGGAGTGCAGTGGCACCTCCCGGGTTCAAGTGATTCTCTTGCCTCAGCCTCCAGAGTAGCTTAAGTTTACAGGCGCTCACCACCATGCCCGGCTAATTTTTTTTTTTTTTTTTTTTTATGTATTTTTAGTAGAGACGGGGTTTCACCATTTGGCCAGGCTGGTCTCCAACTCCTGACCTCAGGTGATCTAGCTGCCTCGGCCTTCCAAAATGCTGGGATTACAGGCGTGAGCCACTGCACCCAGCCACTATGCTCATTCTTAAAGCAAAAGCCTCATCATGCCTCTTCCTCCACGAGCAACCAAAGCTGTACAAAGCTCCCTGCATATTTCTGTTTTGTAGATTGCAGAACAAGGGTTAATCAAACTTTTCCAAGAGTCTACCTGTTTGGATGATCCCCATGTGCCTATATCCATTTTTTCCCCCATAGGATTCCCTGTAAATAAGAAAGATAAAACAGGTTATATACTGTTCCAAGAGAGCTGTTAGCTCCCTTCTCTCTACTATTGGTTGGAATAAGTATCAATCAAAAGAAAATAAAAAAGAAAAACTTCAACATAGGATATATGGAGACTCCAAAACTTTTTTTTGCCTATTAAAGATTTTTCTAAGTTTTCGTTATTTTAATTTCAAAAAAATAGTCAATTTCAACACAAAACAAGAAAATGGACATGTTTAAGAATAAATACAGTCCTTAACATGAAATACATTTAGGCTTTTAAAATAACTGCATTGTTTTTATTTTCCTCATTTCATCATGGGTTAGGAAACACTGTATCATCTGTTCAGAGACCAATGTGGGAGACACTGCTGTGGACCACGTTATTGATAAGACAATTTAAACACAGACAGCCTCACATCTCCTGAACACTCCCATCTTCATCCGTTCTGCCAGAGATACAAGTCTTACAAAGCGACCTCTATTTAAAAAAAAAAATAGTACAAGGAATCAGTATGCTGTTTTAAAGACCCAAATTAATCTAACTCTTTAGAAGACATCAGATATTGCCAACAAACTTACTAAATGCTATGGTAATCACTGTTTTATTGCATGCTTGAAAATAGGTCTCATAAAATTTTGACATGTAAATTAAGAAACAAGGAAAATAGTATGCATTCATACACAAACAAATACAAAATGGCTAACTTGCATTCTAATTGTGTTAATGTTACATATTTTAAATACATTGACATATTACCGAAACACATTTGTGTGCATTTTATTCTGAAATCTCTGATGCAGGACCAAGGCCTGTTCCTCAAGTACAGGTTTATTGATTAGAATTGTTTCAATTAGCTCATATCATATCTTTCACATACACACCATACTTCTTTTTCCTTATGTATTTATTTATTTATTTTTTGAGACAGGGTCTCATGCTGTCACCCAGGCTGCAGTGCAGTGGTGCAATCTCCACTCACTGCAGCCTCAACTTTCCAAGCTCAATCGATCCTCCCTCCTCAGCCTCCTGAGAAGCTGGGACCATATGCACATGCAGCCATGCCCAGCTAATTTTTGTAGAGACAATATCTCCCTATGTTGCCCAGGCTGGTCTCAAACTCCTGGGCTCAAGCAGATGGCCTGACTCAGCTTCCCAAAGTTCTGGAACTATAGGCATGAGCCACCTTTCCCAGCCTACACACCATACTTCTAATGTATCTCCTGAGATTTCTAATATTGGCTTCCTTAAAAGTGAAAAAATAAAAATAAAACTTTAGCAAAATAATGAGAATCTTTATGAGTTTTTGTTTTATTTTCCTCAAAGTCTTCTATAGTTTTTACACACACCTAATTTAACAGCATTTAAAAAAATCGTATTGTCTTTAGAGAGTCTTTCTAAAACATTCAACTCAATTTTCCCAGAAAAAAAAATTTTCTTCCAACTCTTATTGCATAAGTTTATGTAACATTTAATGCAATTACATAATTCCAATAACAACTAAATTAAACCGGTTTGAGAGCAAACATAACGGACATTTGGCAAGACCCCAACTCTGATTGTGGGGAGCGGAAAGCTAATGCATACTGGAAGGAAGCCTACTAATTCTAGTGTATACTCTGTGGCCTTGGGTCCGGAAGTTTGCCGAGGAAAAAGAGGAGTATGATTAATCTAGTAAGTATAAGAAAACATGTTTAAGCTAACTATTTTCTCATTTAATTTAATTAACTATTAGAAAAGTTAATCGTGAAAACAATAGAAACATTTTAGCCTCGTCCTTCCTAAATGACACAGATAAAGTTATAACAATGATATTCTTTACAAACCACATAATTTTTTAAAAACAAAGGTATGAAACATCTTGGCTTAAACAAGAGATACTATAGGTCTAGGGCAGCAATATTAGAGCTGCCCTACTCCTTACTCAAGTATGCAAGCTAATCATAGGCAAACCATAAATTAAACTAACATTGTGTCTTCCGTTCCCCACACCCCCAATTCCTCTTTGGAAAATCATTATTTGTATTTTCCTTCTCTCTTACGACTTCTTTTAATTCCATAATAAATATTTTAGAGCTGTTTCCTGGCTGGTCAAGTGCCCTTAATTTGTGACCTCCAAAATTCTTCCTCCTCAAAGTTCTCCCACATCAAAACTTAACAATTTGCTGTTGTAGTTCTTCAGATTCTGTTTTATGCTTGGTTAAAGTAGTTAAAAAGCTAAATTAACATGAATATTTCAATGGGGTTAATACCATGAATGTGTAACATATGCTCATGAGTTACTGTGTTACCCTACCAACAGATGAATTTTTGTAGGAATCTTAAGGAGATAATCTCTCACCCAAAAAAAGCTGTGATTAATAGTAGGGATTTTAACAGATGCTGTGGAAGACTTAGGAGTTACAAGAGAATTTTCGATGACTGTACTTTTTAGCTCTCTTTAAAAATTAATACTACAGAAGCCAACTAATCATTCTAATCATTAAGGCTCTTAAAGTTTTTGCATCAAAGACATAAAACCATCTTTACCAAAGAAGCAGGGTAAATTTACAAGTTGCAACCAGAAGTCAAAAATATCTTTATTTTGATCCAGAAAGTTAGTCTCTGCATGCACGCACATGTATGTGTGCTCCTGTGTGTGGATGTATATTTTTGGCATGCTTGTTAAAGTATAAGTTTCCGATGGAAAAGGAGCATGCTATATATAATTTCCAGAGGAGTACAGATCTCATTTTAGGTCCTGCCAAAGAGGTTATTCTTAATAGAATGGCTGGAGTCACACCCTGATTAATAGGCATCTGGGTAACTATAACCCACAAGCCACTGACACCATGTTTCCCTCAAAAGTTAGAGTTTGTCTGAAACCCTTCCTTTCTTCACTCCCTACCCCAAACTCCAAAAATCAGAGGTAGGAAACCTTCAGTCCTAGGCCATGGCCGTTTAGAGCAAGCACAGTTAAATCTTTGTTATGTCGGAGATAATGTCTACATTAATGGAGAATGTACATATCTTATCCCATGTATTCAGTAATTTGCAAGCATTCCTGAAGCTTTCTGTTTTCTTCCTTTAGCTTTCAATTTTTGAGCTGCATTTTTAATCTAAGAAAAAAATGATTCTACAAATTTTGACTGAGACAATATCACGTTTATGGTATGTCATCATTACCTCTTTAAAGTGGATTGTTTTCAAAAGTTTTTTTCCATTGTTTAATTATCTTTAGAATTGCCTCCAGCTTCTTACTTTTCCAATTTATAAATATTTTTCATTTGTCCTTGTCCATCAGAAACTTACAATTTAACAAGCATGCCAAAAATATGCATATGAGTATATATAGACTTTCTGGATCAAAATAAAATCAAGGGGTTTTTTTTGGTAGTTTTAAATATAATATTTGAATCCATCCTGCTTGTTTGGTAGATAGTTTTGTGGTATGTCATCCATGCAAGGAATTAAAAGTCAGTCCTAGTAATTAGGCACCTACCAAAGTGTGCTTCTGAGCTATGTTACTTTCTAAGTTTTGAAGCCTTAGAGAAAGATTATATGTTTCCCTCAGTGTAAACCACTAAAGGGAATTATAAAATTGGTGTTTTCTAAAGCCTCTTTTAAAATGTATTGACACTGTGGTTGATGGCCTGCTTACTAATGGTTTGTAAGCAAGGTTTGCAAAGATAGCTGATTATATACACAGTTCATTTTAGAAGACTATTAAAGGCTTTTGATTGGTAAAAGTGCTATGTTTCTAAAAATACTTAATTAGGGGTCTATCAATACAAAAAGACAGTTAAAAGCCTTGTTAATTCAGATTTCTGCATCCTATCAGGGTTGTTCTTGTCTCTGATTGTTTCATTGAATAAATATATTAACCCTTGGAAAATCAGAGGCTCCAATAGAAATAACATACTGCGTAATTATGACAATTAACTGACATGTTTCCATTTTTCCATAGCTCGTTTAAGTAATAATAAATTAACATCTACCAGAAAAATATTAGAATCTTAGACATAGAGATTTTTCTTTCATGCACATGCATACACCACTTAAAATGAATTAACTTTAAGAAGATTTAACTTAAGTAACATTCAGAATTTTTGTTCTTTTTTTTTTTATCCTTTATGCCCTTATTTGGCAAAGAGAGGAGCTGATGTGAAGGGTAATAGGGAGACTGGAGTAGAAATCACTTTGAGTAAAATAAAGTTGGGATTATGAAAAAGAGGAGTCAATAAACCAGAATCTTTAGGTTGTGAAGAATCTAAAAAAGATGACTGCCTTATATTCTAGTTGAGAGAGGCAGCAATTAAACAATGGATAAAAACATGAAATTAAGTGGAATATTTTAAGATAAGTGCTTAAAAATTGTAGAACAAGGAGAAGGTTGGGGACATTTGCACTTTTAAATGTATTCTACAAAGAACATGGGAAAACGGGACTTGGCTGCAATTATTGGGGTAGAGGTGGGGTGGGGGGGTGTTAGATAGAGACAGGTCCTGGTAAAAGAACCTCAAGAGATTTTTGGATGAGACCACTATGCTGTTAAATAAATAAGGAAAGAAATTACTGTTCTCTGCTTTGGTCCTGCTTTCCCTTCACTCATCCACGGACAAACGCTGACATCTCTCTTAATCTCAGTTCTCTGTACAAACAATGCTGAAATGATAGAAAATCAGTGAAGATCCACTTTCGGTACATTTTTTTTTAATGTATAGACACATACAAAGAACCCCTGTATCCAGCATCATCTCACTGCAAGGTATTGTGCTGGCTGTTTTTCCTATATAATACTTACACACATGTACATCGTATGGATATTTCTCTTTGAAAACAAGCTGTCTATGTTATACACTTCTGTATCTTACTGAAATATTATTTGTTGAATGACATAAGATGTAAATGAATTCATTCATTCATTCATTCATTATTGAATATTAGATTTAGCCAAAGGAAAAAAGAAAACAAAAAAAAGTCCTATCATGCTCCAAAGGAAGACAACACCATATTCAATATAGAGCAAGTGTATAAGTTTAGAGGTAATTTTAAAGTTTGTTATTTACTCTCATAAATCTCAAACCAGGGAGAAAAGACTTTGTAAAAGAGTAAGTTTCTCTTCTCCTTTGTGCTAATTGCGTAACTAGATGCAAATGTATTTTGCTTCAAAAACACATAATTTGTTCAGTTCTGCATCTGCTGAATGTGTGCATATGTGTGGTTGGGTATGTAGACATGAGCCTATATGGAGAGATCTCTAGTACTTTGATGGTAGAATGGACATGCTTATGGTGAAAATATTGCTATAGCATCTTTGATTACAATTTATTCATAGAAAATGGGATATTGTGAAACTGATTCAATATATATATGATTTAGCATCTATTCAACAATAAAAAGCTACATGTTGTAATCTTACAATATATTTTAACTTTCCATTATTAATAATAATAACTAATATTTATTGAGTCTTTGTATATACCTTTATGACACTCAACCACTTACATATATTATCTTCTTTAATTCTTAGAAGTAATCAATGAAACACATATTAATAATCTTCTGCTTTTATTTTATTTTATTTATTTATTTATTTATTTATTTATTTATTTATTTATTTGCTTTTCGAGACAGAGTCTTGCTCTGTCACCCAAGCTGGAGTGTAATGGCGCAATCTGGGCTCACTGCAACCTCCGCCTCCCGGGTTCAGGAAATTCTCCTGCCTCAGCCTCCTGAGTAGCTGGGATTACAGGTGTGTGCCACCACACCTGGCTAATTTTTTTTGTATTTTTAGTGGATACAGGGTTTCACCCCGTTGGCCAGGCTGGTCTCGAACTCCTAACCCTGTGATCTACCTGCCTCAGCCTCCCAAAGTGCTGGGATAACAGGCGTGAGCCACCACACCCAGCCTGTTATGCTTTTTAAAAATGAGGAAATTGAGAGGTAGAAGGTTGTCCAGGATTATAGTAAGTAAAAGATCTAAAACCCCTACACTGATCTCTATGGCTCTAAATTTTATTCATCAAACATTGGACTATGTTGTGCCTTCCCTGCTTTCACAAAGAGCTATGGAAATGCCAGCTATTTTATGAACCAGATATTGTAAGATGCGCCCGAGACTTCAGGAGAAACAGAAAGAGATTACTTAATTTATGTTATATTCTCAATTTTCTATTATCTAGAAATGGCAATGTGAGGAAAATCCTTGTCTTTTACCAGTAATCAGAACAATCACAACTTTGCTATTCTTTGGATATCTGTTGGAACTGAAGAAAGTTAGATTTTTTGAAATGAGTACATTTTTATTATTTTTTCTAAAGGTTTACTGAAGGAGGGTTTGGTGTCTTGGAAATGTAAAGACTTAATTTTTCTTTAATATATTCATATGACAAATTTTGAATGACTAAGAATCCCATATAAAAGTAGTAATACCCTTCTACCTAGCTTGGCAGTTTTTAGATTTAAAAAACCACAAGATATTTCTGAAAAATGAAAATGAAAATGAAAAAGTATACAGAGTGTTTTGAATCTCTAAGTCTCTAATTCTAGCTTAGCTGACATTATTCGAATGTCATCTAAAATGTATCAAATGTAATAGTGTCTACCTGTAAAGTACTGCTAAAATGTATCATTTAATCTTGTCTGAGACCAGTAATAGAAGCTGGAGGGAATCCAGCCTCTAGGGTCAAAGAAGGAATAGCACAAATAGAGGGGAGTTTTATGAAAGGTGGCCCCTGACGTCTCAGCTTAGAGTCCAGTCACTCTTAGTTTCTTATAACACCTTTAGTCTCAACTTCACAAACCTGCTATTCCTTACTGATTTAGGACTGCCAGTGTTTAGTATACTCCCTGAAAAGGAAATATTTAAGAAACTCCTAGGTGGAACAGAATTTTACCTCTATATCGGTTTTTACCAGACACTGTTATGATTACTGGTGCTTTGCATTGACTTTTTTCATGCTGTCATCCTCACCTGATTTCCTCTGTTCTACAGGGGAGGGCAGGCCTTTTGGCAGGGGGGCAAGGTTGGAGGACTCTTCTCATCCTAATATCACCTTTGCGTTCCCCATGGCCCCAATTTGATGAACTAGATATAATTCACAGATAATGATTATTGATTTCTGTTTTCATGCATGCATATAATATGTGGTTATCACTACCCGTGTGTCAGCTTCTTCAATTAGATAATGCATCCACTTAGCTTCACAAACACATACACGTGAATGAATGGTTATATTAACACATCATTCAGTTGGTCAATGATTACAGTATAACCTGCTACAATTTTCTAAGACTGTGCAGTGTTCTAGTCAACTATGTTGATTGGAAATGCTCATTTCTATCCCATATCTACTTGGTCTTTTTTAAATTAGAAAAAAATTTTACGTAATTTATTTTTTATTGGCTCAGATATACATATTTTTTGGCTACAGGTGATAATTTGATACATTCATATAATCAGATCAGGCCACTTTGGGATATCCATCACCTTAAATATTTATATTTTCTTTACTCTAGGAGTGTTTGAATTAGTCCCCTGTATCTATTTTTGAAAGTACACTTGATTAATATTTTGTTTTGTTTTAAGATGAGGTCTTGCTTTGTTACCCAGGCTGGTCTCAAACTCCTGGCTTTAAGCCATTCTCCCACCTTGGTTTCTCAAAGTGCTGAGATTACAGGCATAAACCACCACATCTTGCCTTAGAATCCACTGATGTTAATTATAGTCACTCTACTCATCTATTGAGCACCAGGTCTACCAGGTCTTAGTTCTGCGAAGTGTACTTTTGTACCCATTAATGAAACTCTATTCATCCCCTCTTTTTTCTACCCTTCCTAGCTTCTGGTAACCACCAATCTGCTCTCTATCTTCATGAGATTCACTTTTTTTTTTTTTTTGAGATGGACTTTAGCTCTTGTTGCCCAGGCTGGAGTGCAATGGCACGACCTTGGCTCACCGCAACCTCCGCCTCCTGGGTTAAAGCGATTCTCCTGCCTCAGCCTCCTGAGTAGCTGGGATTACAGGCATGTGCCACCATGCCCGGCCAATTTTGTATTTTTAATAGAGATGGCCAATTTTGTATTTTTAATAGAGATGTTGGTCAGGCTGGTCTGGAACTCCTGACCTCAGGTGATCCACCTGCCTTGGCCTCCCAAAGTGCTGAGATTATAGGCATGAGCCACTGCACCCAGCCAGAGATTCACTTTTTTAGCTCCCACATATGTGTGAGAAGATGCAATGTTTGTCTATTGTACTTGGCTTATTTCACTTAACATAATGACCTCCAGTTCCATCCGTGTTGCTGCAAATGACAAGATTTTAATCTTATTTAGGGTTGAATAATATTCCATTGTGTATATTTACAACATTTTCTTAATCTGTTTATCCATTGATGGACACTTTGTTTAATTTCATATTTTGGCTATTGTGAATAGTGCTTGTATTAGTCCATTTTCACATTGCTATAAAGATACTTCCTGAGACCGGGTAATTTATAAACAAAAGAAGTTTAATTGATTCACATTTCCACATGGCTGTCGAGGCCTCAGGAAACTTCAATTACAGCAGAAGGCGAAGGGGAAGCAAGGCACCTTCTTCAAAAGCCAACAGGAGAGAGAGAGAGAGCAGAAGGGAAACTGACACTTTTAAACCATCAGATCTCATAAGAACTCATTCACTATCACAAGAACAGCATGGGGAAAACTACCTCTATAATCCAATCACCTCCCACCAGCTTCCTTCCTTGACATGTGGGGATTACAATTCGAGATGAAATTTGGGTGGGTACACAGAGACAAACCATATCAGTGCTATAATAAATATGGGAATGCAAATCTCTTTGATATATTGATGTCTTTTCTTTTTTTCTTTTCTTTTTTTTTTTTTAGACAGGGTTTCACTCTGTCTCCCAGGCTAGAGTGCAGTGGCATGAAAATGGTTCACTGCAGCCTCAAACTCTTGGGCTCAATTGATCCTCCTGCCTCAGCCTCCTGAGTAGCTAGGACTACAAGTGCATGCCACCACACCTAATTTTTGTATTTTGGGTAGAGATGGGGGTTTGCCATGTTGCCCAGGCTGGTCTTGAACTCGTGGGCTCATGCAATTCACCTGCCTCAGCCTCCCAAAGTGCTAGGATTGCAGGAATGAGCCACTGTGCCCAGCCTGATTTCCACCAACAGTGTATTTACATTTCCACCAACAGTGTATGAGGACTCCCCTTTCTCCACATCCTCACCAGCATCTGTTATTCCCTGACTTTCTGATAAAAGCCATTCTAATTGTGGTGAGATAATGTCTCATTGTGGTTTTTATTTGCATTTCTGTGATTAGTGATGTTGAGCATGTTTTGTATACCTGGGGGCCATTTCTTTGTCTTCTTTTGGTAAATGTCTATTCAAATCTTTTTCAAATGTCTTTTCAAATCTTTGCCTATTTTTTAATCAGATTATTTGTTTTTTTGCTATTGAGTTGTTTGAGCTCCTTATGTATTCTGGTCATTAATCCCCTGTCAGATGGATAGTTTGTAAATATTTTCTCTATTCTGTGGGTTGTCTTTTCACTTTTTTCATTATTTCCTTTTCTGTGTGAAGTTTTTTAGCTTAATGTATTCCCATTCATCTATTTTTGGCTTTGTAGTTTGTGCTTTTCAAGGTCTTAACACAAAAATTCTGGGTGTAGCCCAATGTCTTGTAGCATTTTTCCAATGTTTTCTTCTAGTAGTTTCATAGTTTCAGGTCTTAGATTTAAGTCTTTAATCCATTGTGATTTCATGTTGGTATATGGTGAGAGATAGGGGTCTAGTTTAATTCTACTGCATATGATTATTGTTTGCCTGGCACCATTTATTGAAGAGAATCTTCTTTCCTCACTGAGTGTTCTTGGTGCCTTTGTCAAAAAATGAGTTGGCTATAATGTATAGACTTATATCTGGGTCCCGTATTATGTTCCATTGGTCTATGTGTCTGTTTTCATGCCAGCTTTTTTTTTACACCATGATAGTTTGGTTACCATAGCTTGGTAATTTATTCTGAAGTCAGGTAGTGTGATGCCTCCAGCTTTGTTCTTTTTGCTCTGAATTGCTTTGGCTATTGGAGGTCTTAGGTGGTTCTATTTATGTTTTCGGATTTTTTTTTCCATTTCTGTGAAGAATGTCATCAGTATTCTGATACAAATTGCATTGAATCTGTAAATTGCTTTGGGTACTACTGTCATTTTAACAATATTAATGATTCTACCAATCAATGAGCATAAAGTATCCTTTTTTTTTTGTTTCTTCTTCAATTTTTTTCATCGATGTTTCATAGATTTCCTTGTTAAGATCTTTCACATTTTTGGTTAAATTGCCTCCTAATATTTTATGTTCTTTGTAGCTATTGTAAATTGGGTTGCTTTCTTGATTCCTTTTACAAATTGATTACTGTTACTGTATTCAAAGACTGCTGATTTTTGAATGCTGATTTTTTTTTTTTGTTTTTTTTGAGACAGTCTCACTCTATTGCTGAGCCCGGAGTGCAGTGGTGCAATCTCAGCTTGCTGCAACCTCTGCTTCCCGCATTCAAGAGATTCTCCTGTCTCAGCCTCCCGAGTAGCTGGGACTACAGGCACATGCCACCACGCCCCTCTAATTTTTCTATTTTTAGTGGAGACAGGGTTTCACCATGTTGGCCAGGATGGTCTCAAACTCCTGGCCTCAAGTGATCTGCCTGCCTCGGCCTCCCAAAGTGCTGAGATTACAGATGTGAGCCACTGCACCCAGCCTTGATTGTATATACTGCAACTTTACTAAATTTATTTGTCAGTCCTAACCAATTTTTTGGTGAAGTCTCTAGTTTTCACTAAATACAAGATCAGGTCATTGCATTCAAAGCATATTTGACTTCTTCCTTTCCAATTTGGATGTTGTTTCTTTCTTTATCTTGCTTAATTGCTTTAGGCAAGACTTCCAGTATTATGTTGAATAAAACTGGTGAAAGTGCATCCTTGTCTTGGTCCAGATCTTAGAGGAAAGGCTTTCAATTTTTCTCCATCCAGTATTATGTTAGCTATATGTTTGTCATACATAGCCTTTATTATTTTGAAGTATGTTCTGTCTATACAAAGTTTGTTAACAGTTTTTATTACAAAAGGATGATGAATTTTATTGAATGCCTTTTCTTCATCTATCAAAATGATCATATGGTTTTTGTTCTCTGTTCTGTTAATGTGATGTATCACGTTTACAGATTTGATTATAGTGAATTATCCTTGCATCCATTGGATGCATCCCATTTGATCATGTAAATGGTCTTTTTAATGTGTTGAATTTGGTTTGCTGCAATTTTATTGAGAATTTTTGCATCTATGTTCATTAGGGATATTGGCCTGTAGTATTATGTTTTTTTGTGTCCTTGGGTTTTTTTGTGTGTTTTATACATATACATGTGTGTATATATATGTATATATATGTGTATATATGTATATATATGTATGTATATATGTGTGTATATATATGTATATATGTGTGTATATATGTATATATATGTGTGTGTATATATATACGTATATATATGTGTGTGTGTTTTATATATATATATGTATATATATGTGTGTGTGTGTATATATATATCAGAGTAATGCTGGCCTCATAGAATATATTTGGAAGTATTCTCTCATGTTAAATTTTTTTTGATGAGTTTGAGGATTGCTATTATATCTTCTTTAAATATTTGGTAGAATTCAGTAGTGATGCCATCACATCCTAGGCTTTCCTTTCTTGGGAGACTTTTTATTATCACTTTGATCTCATTAATCATTACTGGTTTGTTAAATTTTTCTGTTTCTTCAGGTTTTAATCTTGATAGGTTTTATGTGTTTAAGAATTTATCCAAGTCTTCTAGGTCTTTTAATTTGTTGACATATGATTGTTTGTAGTGGTCTCATAATTCTTTATACTTTTGTGGTCTCAGTTGTCGTTTCTCCTTTTTGTGTCTTATTTCACTTATTTTTGTTTATTTCTCTCTCTTTTCTTTTTTAGTTAGTCTAGCTAAAAGTTTATGGATTTTATCTTTTCAAAAAACCAACTTTTTATTTCATTAATTTGTGTTTTTTATCTCAATTTTATTTATTTCTGTTCTGATCTTTATTATTTCTTTCATTCAATTTTGGGGCTTGGTTCGTTCTTGTTTTTCTAATTCCTTGAGGTACATCATTAGGTCATTTATTTGAAGACTTTCAACTTTTTTAATGTAGGCATTTATTGCTATAAACTTCCATCACAGTACTGCTTTTGCTGTACCCCATTGATTTTGGTATGTTATATTTTCATTTTCATTGGTTCCAAGAAATTTTTAAATTTTCTTCTTAATTTCTTCGTTGACCCATTGGTCATCTGGGAGCATGTTGTTTAATTTCTGTGTGTTTGTGTAGTTTCCAAGATTACTTTTGTTATTGATTGTTAGTTTTACTTCTTTGCAGTAAAAAAAAAAAGCTACTTGATATCATTTCTACTTTTTAAAATTTATTGAGACTTGTTTTGTGGCCTAAAATATGTTCCACTCTGGAGAATATTTCATGTGCTTATGGAAAGAATGTGTATTCTACAGAAGTTCGGACAAATGTTCTATGAATATCTAGTTTGTCTAGTGTGAGGTTTTAACTCTGATGTTTCATTGTTGATTTTCTGTCTAGGTACTCTGTCCATTACTGAGAGTGGGATGTTGAACTCCACTACTATGACTGTATTGCAGTCTATATCTCCCTTTAGGTCTATTAATGCTTGTTTTATATACTTGGGAGCTCCAGTGTTGGGTACATAGACATTTATAATTGTTATACCCTTTTACTGTATTGACCCTTTTATCATTATATAGTGACTGTCTTCATCTCTTTTTATAATCTTTGACTTATAGTCTATTTTATCTGATACAAACAGAGCTACTCTTGATCTTTTTTGTTTCCACTTGCCTGGAAAAACTTTTTCCATCATTTCTCTATGTGTTAGTCTATGTGTTTCTCTACAGGTAAGGTAGGTTTCTTGTAGGCAGCATATAGTTGGGTCCACTTCTTTATCCATTCAGCTACTCTATGCCTTTTAGTTGGAGAATTGAGTCTATTCACATTCAGTGTAATAAATAAGGACTTGCTACTGCCATTTCGTTGCTTATTTTCTGATTGTTTTGTAATTCCTCTCTTCCTTCTTTTCTTGCTGTCTTCCTTTATGGTTAAGTGATTCCCTCTAGTAGCACTGTTTAATTCATTGCTTTTTATTTTTAGTGTATCTATTACAGGTTTTTGCATTGTAGTTACCATGAGGCTTACAAAAACATCTTAGAGATAAAACAAGTTATTTTAAAGAGATGACAACTTATCTTACATTACACACACACCACAAAACAAACAAAAGCTTTTAAAGAAAACTCTACACTTTAACTTCATCCTTTTCACTTTTTGACTTTCACTTGTCTCAATTTGCATATTTTATAATGCCTATCTCTCTTAACTTGTTTTGTAGCTATTATTGTTTTTGATAGATTTGTCTTTTAGGTCTAATATTAGAGTTCTGAGTCGATTGCACACAACAACTATAGTATTGGAATATTCTGGGGTTGTCTCTGTACTTAATTTTACCAGTGGGTTTTAAACCTTCAAAATTATTTTTGGGCATTAGTATTTTTTTTCCTTTTAGATTGTAAAACTCCCTGTAGCATTTCTTTTTAATATTGCTCCAGTGGTGATGAATTATTGTCGCTTTTGTTTGTCTGGGGAAGACTTTACCTCTCCTTCATAGTTGAAAAATAGATTTGCCGGACAAAGTATTCTTGGCTGGAAGGTTTGTTTTTTTTTTTCTTTCAGTGCATTGAAAGTGTCATTCTTCCTGGCCTGTGTGGTTTCCCTTAAGAAGTCTATTGCCAGATGAATTGGAATTCCTTTCTATATTATTTGCTTCTATTATCTTGCTGCTTTTAGGATAATTTATTTGCCTTTGACATTTGAGTGTTTGATTATTACATGCCTTGGGGTAGTCTTATTTGGTGTACTGTTTGGTGTACCTGTTTGGTGTACTCTGAACTTCCTGTACCTGGATATTTATATCTTTCTTAAGTTTTGGAATGTTTTCTGTTATTATTATTTTTAAATTAAGCTTTCTACCCCTTGCTCTTGCTCAACTCCCTCTTGAACAGCAACAATTCTTAGAGTTGGTGTTTTGAGGTAATTTTCTTTATCTTATAAGCAATCTACATTCCTTTTCATTCTATTTTCTTCTCTTCTGATTGTATAATTTCAAATAGCCTTCATTTAAGTTCACTTATTCTTTCCTCTGCTTGATCCACTCTGCTGTTGAGAACCTTCAATGTGTTCTTCAGTTCAGCGAATGTACTTCTCAGTTCCAAGATTTCCGGGTTTTGTAATTATTATTATTTCAACCTGTTTGTTAAATTTCTCTAATACATTTCTGAATTGTTTTTCTACATTATCTTGGTTATCACTAAGTTTTTCATACTGCTGTAAATTTTTTATACTGCTATAAATTTTTATACTGCTATAATTCTTGGTGAGAGAGCTCACATATTGCTCTCTTGTTAGGGTCAGTCACTGGCTCTTGCTTTGTCCATTTGGGAAGGTCATAGTTCCCTATTTGCTATCATTTCTTATGTCTTTGCATTGAAAAATTAGTTATTTATTTCAGTCTTCTGGTCTGTCTTGTTTTGATTTTTTAACAAATAAATAGCGTCTTGCTCTATCATTCAAGAAGGAGTTCAGTGGTACAATCATGGTTCACTGCCAACTCAGCTTCCTCGGCTCAAGTGATCCTTCCACCCCAGCCTCAAGAGGAGCTGAGACTACAGGCATGTGCCACTACACCTGGCTAATTTTCATTTTTTGTAGAGGCAGGGTCTCACTATGTTGCCCAAGCTGATCTTGAACTCCTGGGTTCAAGTGATCCTCCTGCTTTGGCCTCTTAAAGTGCTGGGATTACGGGCATGAGCCACTGTGCCCAGCCTTGTTTGTTTTTCATTGAATATGTTTGCTTAGAGATTCTTCATAATTTACCTATTGAGTTTCTTATGTTTTCCCACACTAAGTCACTACCTCCTTTTTGGTGCTAAATGGTGCCTAAAGCCCAGGTTTGTCTCAGCTCTGGCAAATAATCAGAACACTGCCCATTCAGAGTGGGAAAGATCCCAGAGGGGATATCTGTGTAGTGTTGAAAGACTTGCTAGGGGTTTGTGCCCAGGGGACCTGTGGAACATACCCACTTCAGCATGGTGCTGCTGAACAGCCATTCTAATTTGGCGTCTCCTTTGGCTGAGCTACACAGCAGAGTTTCCAGGGGTGGAGATGCTAGTCTAGCTTCCACCCTTTGCCACTGGCTGTCCTTAGAGATATATCTCTCTTCAGGCAATCATGATGCTTCCTGTGGTTTGAGGCATGGACAGGTCTCCCGCCAAAGAAAAGATGGTGGGGAAGCTGCTTGTCCACCTCAATTTCACTTTTTCTAGTGTAGAAAACATGAGTCAAGGACAAGTTTTTGCACACTGGTGCCAGTCAGCTTGGGATAAGGAGTGTTGCATATGTGAAAATCTGATTCTCTCACAGTCTGGTTGGAGAGTTGTTGTTGTTGTTGTTGTTGTTGTTGGTTGTTTGCTTGTTTTTACTTTTTTTTGTGACCCCAGGAACTGACTCATCTTCATATTTGAGTTCTGGGATATTCCTGGTGACAGTTTCAGTGCTGTATATTTGTTTTTGGTTTTCCATGGGGGAAAGCAAAGCTGGCTTGTGTCTACACCACCATTTTTGAAGCTGGAAGTTTCCTGTTTTAGTTTTTATGTCAGGGATATGTGATACAATATATAGTGCCCTAGAAATTTAATGAATCAACCTATATCTAGCCCACACAGCTGAAATTCCCCATTGGCCTACCTGTGAAGTAGTCACTCTGATATTAGAATAACTCAAATGACACACGGACAATGGAGGAAGGCAGTGTCTAATGCTCTTTAAGACAGAAAACTTTCTGCTTAGGGCTAGAGATGCTTTGGAAATCACTGAGCCTTCCCAGATAAAATGTGTTTTCTTAAGACCCACTCATGATACCAGTAATTTGTTCAGAGCTTCATCTTTGTTTCTGTTTCTCTGATTCGGAGTGTTTATATCCTGTTTATATCTTTCTGCTTCCCTGCCATTTTGATTATACCCCTTACCCCCAGCCATTATTAATATTTTATTCCTTGGTCTCAACTCACTCCTGATTTTGTAACTCAAAAGCCTGACAATCTTAACAGATTCTTATATCAGTATCTCCATCATCTCTTTATTCTGGTATTTTCTGATCTCTGGCATCCCACTGGTTCTTACCAAGGCTTCAAAGCTTCAAAGCTTACCAAGGCTTACCAAGCTTTGTATAATACTACATGAATGTAAATTAAACCCAAATGTGTCTCCCATTTCAGATAAGATTATAAGACATATTTATTAAATATGTCTCTAAGGATACATTAATAGAATGGTAATTGCACTCATAATTCTTTAGATAGGATTTTCATACTCATTAATTATTTCAACAAACAATTTTTGAGAACACACTTTGTGGCAATTATTTTAAGTGAACGTGTATTAGACTTTAAAATAGTTCAATCTTTTTTTTACCAATATTAGGCACTAATCTTTCTTGAACACTGATTATTAAAATAACCAACTGCTACAGCTAATGTTCAATGAGGATCTAAACAATGTATATTAAAACATCCAGATCACCTGGATAATGTAAGAAGTCAGTCATCTCTTAACCATGTAGTATTGCAAAAGAGAATTCCCTTGGCTAACGTTAGAGATTAGTCTTTTCTTAAATATTTGGCATCATAAAAGCCACCTCTTCTGACTGCTGGGCATTAGTAAGTAGTTTCTTAAATATTAACTGTGATGATTTGTCCATTCTGCTAACGACTCCTTAATTGCAAAGAACACATAAAAGCCAGCAACAGCAAATATGTAAGAATTTAACTACATTGTCCTTGTGTGTATCTCATTAATCCCTGCTCTTCTGTTTACCTTGGGTTCTTACACTGATTTCTTCCTGCTTGCTGTTATTGCTGTTAGTACATTTTGAAACTGAGAAGTAACACACACAGAAAAAAAGGCATAAAGTACACCAATTATAAGTGTGTAATGGTGACTTTCATTTACATCTATGTAACCACTTAGAGCAAAATATAGAATATTTCCAGCACCCACCTTCCTAGGCTATTTTCTATACCCTATTCCCATCCTTCGGGCTCCATCTTCCTCCTTGTTTCAATATCCTGCTTGGGTTTTTATGACTCATATGCTTCAGTTTTTCCTCATCCTTTCCTATCTTGACTTGGCTTTAAATACTTTATTGGATAAATTTTACTTGTGGCTCTTAATAACAGCTACCATGACATCGCAGCCAGAGAAGGAGAACAATTTGCTCTAAATATCTTGCAAGCAAATGTTAACACTGGGCACAAGTAAGCATGTATGGCTAAATCAAATATTTGCTTTTTAATTTATACCCACATAATTTTGGAAAATTCTTACAAACAAATATGTCAGACATAGCTGGTCTTCCTACTAACACAATGCCATTATGCATATATTCTCAGAGAACAGAGAAAATCATTCACATTCTCAAGGATGGTTTCTGTGACTTGGGTGGGTACTGATTTCTCCCCGGACAATTGCAGTACAGAGCTCCCACTTATTCTCCATAATGTTAATTGGTCCTTACAGTTTTATCATTTCAGACATGATTTGTCATTACTGTTCAAATTCAGTCTTGGTTTTACCTGGTCAAAACTTTGTAATATACCTATTTGTTTTGAACATGAGTATGTGAAAAATAAGCTGGTATATTAAAATTTACTGCCTGCATAGGGGAAAGGCTTAATTAACTGGTATTTAGGGGAACTAAGGTGCACTGGTTTGCAAAATTTATCAAACGTGTATTTCCTTCACTGTAGTCTCATGTAAATAATACTTCTGAGTTTTTATGATTTTTATCAGTTTATTCTTTGCACACTTTTAGAAATACAGCAATTGAACCTTCATAAATATTCCTTCTGAACACGTTGCTATCCAACTTTTAAAGTGCCCCCAGAAAGGCAAATTATTAAAGATATAAATAACCCATCACAATTTACACAAAATAAAAATAAATTTTCATCATCTTGATATACATAGAAATTATTAGGCTTGATGGTTAAGATGAATATTGGTACTTAAGTATAGTTTTGTGAAATAGTAGGACAACTGTCAAATTTGTGTTATTTTGAGCAATCTTAAGGACCAAATTATATAATCAATATCTTAAGTTGTTTCTAGAACTATTATCTAGCAGAATACAGCCACATGATAGGCTGAATCAACTTGTTTCTTCTGGGAAAAACTGAAGGTAAATCCTACATTTGAAAGCAAGAATATTAAAACAAACAAACAAGCAAACACACAAACAAGAAAAACCTAAGAAGAGTTTAGAAAATTGAATGAAATTAACTAAAATCAGTAGTATTTGGCAATTTCTCTGCCCTGGACACTTCTTGTTGTTGTCTTTTATTATTTAAAAAAAATTTGTGGATGATCCAGGTGATCTCTACGTAGCCCTTTTTCACTGCTAAGTGATTGAGAACAAATTCAATTTATCATATCTAAACATGTCCACTCCAGAGAATTTTTTTCAAACATAACACAATCCATGTGAGGAATAATTTTTCCAAGATTAAGTATATTTGTTAGTTAAATTAAACTTCAACCCCAGATAGCAAAGATATAACAGCACTCTAATTACCAATGTGTCTTCCCAAACAAGGTTACTACAGTGTAAGGCATTAAGTTTTCAGAATTATTTCTGAAGGTTTTCTGTCTCTCTTTTTTTTAAACTTTATGCCCATAACTCCTTGATGAAGGAGTTGCAATATCCTGGGCCAGTTTCTCATTGCTTCCTTATGTGTTAATTAATAACATACATATGCAATAGAGATAAAAACAGGCACAAACATTTATCAAGATTAATCAGCTAATAGTAATGATTAATCAAACATTTTTATTTCATTCAAGAACTAAGTACCAGAGCTTGTCAGTCGTGATTCATATAAGTATGACCAGGGAATTTTTTGAAAAGGATTTTGGCCCCACTTCTTACCACCTAAATTAGAATATCTGCAAGTAAGGGTCACACATTTGCATGTTTCAAAGGCTCTTGGTTGATTGTAAAGTACAGCTGGGCTGGGAACCACTGAGTTAAGAACAAGAAATTGAAAATAAGCCATTTCCAATTTTGATGTTTCATTCTTCTAGTGAAAACAAATGAAAAACTAGTGAAACACTTTACCACGATGTACCATAACAATATATTGCCTTTAAATGTTTAAATTCAAAATGTATTAGTTTTATAAAAGCCATACCACTTTACATATACTGATAGACATCAATGCATAGCAAACTTCCTTAAGGGTAGAGACTGTATCCTCTTTATTGTGACAAATAATACCTATTCTGTCTATTTTTCTTAATTAAATAATAATTATACCCATCTGGTTCTACAGAGTACCACAGTAACAACTTCAAAGATATGAAAACAGAGTAATTTTTTCAAATTGCTTCTTTATTCAAAACCACACACGTTCATTTTTCCCTCTATAATTTATAATTTCTTAATTCCAAAACCTTAAGTCTATCAGGTTAAATGATTATGGTCTTTGTGTTCACTATAAATTTATTGTCATTAGTAGCATCTTGGAATGTCATTTGTAGTGAATAATTCATATATTCATGTTATGCAGGATTATCTACTACCATAAACAAAATGCAGATGTTCTAAATTCTAAATTAAGGATGTAAAATAACCTGCCATCAGAATAACAGTTGGATTAGACATTGGAACAAGTAAAAAAAAAAAAAGGTTGAAGACATGAAATCTTCAGCTTATTTGTGAAAGATTCGTGGTAATCAATAATATTCTGGAGTTCCTAAACTTTTCATGGACACGGGTTCTGTCTTATCCCTCCTTATATCTTTGACCAGTGCAAGCATAGCAGACACATAATACATAATTGCTAAAGTGGACCGAACAGTTTCAATGGAAAACATAATTAATATGGGAGGACTAGACTGTGTCTTTTCAGACATTTATAGATATATATTGTAAAAAAAATCCCAAATTTCATCATTGAATGTGTGTTATTGATTACTGTTTGCTACATTACAAGAGTCCAAAATGTTCTCAGTTTATAACCAGTTCACTTTCTGAACTCAACGTGGTGTTTAAATTTGTATTCCTTTTCCGTAAAATACAAATGCTGTGGGAAAATAATACATACTTATAGGCATCTATGTTAAAAATGCCAATTCGCAAAAATATGAAATATACTTAATTGCTTAGCCAATTTTTAGACCCTCTGAATTACTATTTAAATTATATATAAATACAGGTTTAAAATAACACTAGAAGTTGTCTTTAACTTAGATTCTTGCATCATTCCTATGTTTTCACATCTATAATGTGAATGTGATTATTGTTTTATTAGTTTCTTAAATTCTATAATTATGCTAAAACACAACATTTTAACTGAATTTATCTTTCAAAAATTCAACACATTTAACTCAGTTGATACTGACATAGTTAAACAATAAAAGGTAGGAAATAAAATCCTCAATATTATTTACAAGGTCAATAACTTTTCAGATCTTCTTAATTCATAACATCTATAAGACCGAAACACATGGGTAAAAAGTAAAAAATACAGATATTCTCTATTACTTTCTATATATCATGTAAACTGAGGGCTATATAGAACTGCTCTGACGTTGAACTGAGCTTTTCATTTTATCTAAAACGTTCTGAATGTTCTGGATTGTGTAAAACAGTACTGTGTTTTAGCTGACTTGAGAAGGCTGTGTGTCTCACTTTGGCATTTCAGATTGCTTTATTTTTACATTCCTTGGTTGCAGAAGGCATTTGTTAGCAGTTCACATATTTTTGTGATCTTCAAAATTATAACCACAAAAATCTTCCCTTTAGTTATCAAGTATACCCAAGTGTGGCCCCTAAAATCAGGGAAGATAGGTTTCTCACTAGTAGTGACTTCCAAAAAACATCAAGTTGGCTAAGCTTCAAATTCATTTGGGATTAAAACGTTTTCAATTATTCTAATTATACTTAAGATAATTTATTAATTTTGAAAGGAAGTATGAGCGAAACCCTTAAAATGCAACCTACTAATTCTGAAACTTTCTGGAATTTCCAAGTCAGTAGGTTTAAATGAATTTGCGTCTTCCAAAATCCTGATTACCATAAAAAAGGGTATACATTAAGAATTATTTCTTATACTGTAGTCACAGAAAATAGTTGCTTGTATGTCAGATTTCCACAGAAATATAGTGAGATACCTAAAAACAGCTTTTTAAAGCTAGTAGTATTTCAATGTTGACTTTAATTGGAAGGAAACTATGAGATGAATAACTCCTGCTAAGAAACCTGTATATAGGTGGGATTTCCCATGATTCAGAGAGTGTGATGAACAATCTTACTCACAACATCCCCCCGCCTCAACCATTCTAATTTGAAACAGAAGATAAAGTTTTAAAGAAAAAGGCATTGACATATTAGTCAATGCCGACCAAAAGTAACGTAAAATTAGACTTGTAATAAAATTAGCAGTGTTTTCCTCTTTGAAACGTTCATAAATGACTATATTACAGAAATATTAGATATTGTAAAATTTCAGATTTGGCCTTTTATTTTGATTTACAAAGAAAGGAATATCTAGAAACTAGACTCAATAAAAAAAAGAGTAGCAAAACTTTAATCCACTATTTTTTATGTCATCACTAGTTTGACAATTGGATTTAAGCAAAGCATGATAAAATAAGTCAAAGACAGTAAATGACAATACTGTCAAGGTTTGAATGTCAAAAATTTTAACATTGGGGCATTAAAGACATCCTTTGGTAATGTGTGTTTTACAGTTGACTTGTACAATCACGAACCAGTGATATGTGCTTTGCAGTAGCTACTTACTAGATTTAAACCAATTTATAATTGCTGTATTTCTCGTAAATGTTATGAATCCTCACTTTTAACAATTATGTTTCTGAGAATTCCGGAATTTCCTGAACCACAATGTGAAGAAGGAGGTGCTCCTGATTGGGCTTCTTTTCTCAGCTTTGTGGTTGTTTATGAGGTTCTTTCCGAGCTATGCTATTTCTACTGGAGAACCCAGAGTTCTTACTAAATGCAGCTGGGCATGAGAGGGGAGGCTCAGGTACTGCAGCTGTGAAACCTCTGCTCGGGCATGCGTTTTGGTTTACACGCGGCCAGGTTAAGGAAACACATTGCCACGAAGTGTGCATTCACAAGAGTGTCGGGTGTAATGTATTTATTTCTGGGTCTCAAACGATCTTTGCAGCGAGTAATTCTGTTTCGATGTTAAAGTCACTGGATTTTACTTCTCTGGTTCCGGTTGGCCTGGAGCAGGCCCCTAATTACCTCGGAAACCCACCAAGGGCCGGTAAAGTAATAAACTGTGATCGCACAGCGTACACGTCGAGTCCCAGGGAGAGCAGGGCTCCCAGGAAGCCCCGGGAAGCGTGCGCTTCCAGGAGGGTGTGCGGCGCGCGGGGGTCTGCACGCGCGCAGAGCTTGTTAACGGAGGGCGTGCCGGAGGCGTGGCGCGAGGTGTTCGGGCGAGGCGCTCCGCGAGGCTGGCGGCGGTGGGCGGGCCACGGGGGAGCGCGGCCCGGGGAAGGCTGCGCGGCGCCGCCAGCGGCTCCCGGCTCCCGCTCTCCCGGCCGCCAAGAACGAGCCGCCGTGGGCGGGGCCTGCGGTGATTGGCGGGCGGGCGGGGAGGTCGGAAGTACTTTGTTTTTTATGCTAATGAGGGAGTGGGGCTTGTCCGTATTTACGTTGAGGCGGGAGCCGCCGCCCTTCATTCACCCACATGGTCCTTCGAGGTGCCGCCGCCGCCGCCCGACCTGCGCCTTCGCGCCACTTCGCGCCCTCGGGCGAGGCCGAGGGGGTGGGGACGACTACCGCAGCGCCGCCGGGGCTCGCGCTCCTCCGCGAAGCTCTCCTCGCGGGGCGGGCCGGCCGGCCGCACCCCCGGCCTGGGGCCTCCGGTCGTAGTAAAGCGCAGGCGGGCGGGGAGGCGGGAGCAGGAGCCCGCGGCCGGCCAGCCGAAGATGGTGGCGGCTACTCCTCCTGGTGAGTCTGCCCGCCCCTCCGGCGACGGAGGGAAACCTGTTGTGTGCGGCCCGGGTCTGGCGGGCGGGGCGGAGCGGCCCGGGGCGGACTGGCCCGGGGCAGCGTGGCGGCGGCGGCGTGGCCGGGGCGGGTCTCGGCCGTTGGCCGCCCCGGCGTGTGGCAGCCGCATCTGGCTGCCCCCTCGCTCGCCCGCGGGCCGGCGGAGGGGGGCAGGGCCGGGGCGGGAGGGTGGGAGGGGGCGGCGTGCGCGTGGCGGCCGCGCCCGGGACCCGCGCAGACCCTGCCTGGGCCGACCCGAAGGCGGGTGGGCGGACGGCGAACACAATGGCCCCTCGGGGAGAGGACGTGCGAGGCCCGTGCCTTCTCCGGGGCCCGGGGCGCGCGCGGGGCGTGGGGTCTCTGGGTAGGAAAGTTTCTCCCGAGGGCGAGAGTTAAAGCGCCTCCAGAACAAAGCGGCGGCGGCGGCGGCACATGGGGCAGGCCGCGGGCCGGGAGGGGGCGCGCCCACGAGGTACCTGCGCGCCAGCGGGCGGCGTGGCGTGGGCGGGAGCCCGCGGTTCCCCAAACTTTGTACGCGCGAGGGTGGGCGGAGGGGCGCCGAGATCGGCGCGGCCTGGGCGCCACCCCCGCTCCGCGTGGGCTTTGTTAGCCCGCGTGGGCAGCCTCGGGGCGGGGCCCGCAACTTCCCCGCCGTGGCCCTCGGAGGAGGCCGCAGTCGGCCTCAGCCGCGGCGTGGAGCCGCCTGCGCCCGGCCGCTTGCTGGGAGTGTGGCGCGGGAGGGCCAGCCCGGCTCGGCGGGAGCGGCGTCCCCGCCGCCATGTTCCTGCGGGGCGGGCTGCACGGGGGTGAGGGCGGGGGACATGGCGGCGACTGCGCGCCGCCGCCGATTGTTCCCGGCTTAGGCCTCGGGCCGCGTGCGACGGGCACCGCGGCCGCGGAGCCCCCGCCCCTCTGGGCCGGGCTCGGGGGGGCTGGGGGACACAAAGGAGGGGCGGCGCGCCCGCGTCCCCGCCGCACTCGGGCCTCGGCGCCGCCGGTCGCCGCGCGGCTGCCGCCGGGAAACGGGTTGGGGGGGTTGCCGCGTCCGGCGGGGCCTGACTCTGACCCGCCGCCCCCTGGCGGCTACGCGGAGAATCGCAGGGCCGCGCTCCCCCTTGTGCGACATGTGCTGCCGGCCCGGGCTCCATGAGCGTGGCGGGCACTTTGCAGTCTCGGGTGTTCCTGCCCGGTCTTCTGTTCCTAAACTGCAGCAAAGGGAAAAGGAACTGAAAAAGGCAGGCTCGTCGTTGCAATATCACCAAAAGAGAAAATTAACGGCATGCCATCAGGACCACAGCAGTTGGAGAAACAACTCTTTATCCCGGCTTGCAGCCACGAGGTCTTGATTGGGGGAGGGGTGGTGAAGAATAGTCTGTGGGCTGCTTTTTTTTTTTCCTTTTACTGGAGCTGTACAGTGGAGTCGGTGATTGCTGCTGATCATAATCAAGTATTTTAGGAGCTTATTTAGACATGTATCTGATAGCTAAGGATTTTTCAACTTTATTCTCTTACGTATTTTTCAACTGTAAATTATTGGGCTTTTAAATCCTGCTAGTATTGCTCGACTCTTACTCTCACAAATGGATGGAATTAATTGCTGTTAGGAGGTTGGAAAATAGCAAATATAGATTTGGACGGTGGTAGTAATTTTGAGCAAATAATGTTTTATCTTTTTTTTCCTTATTTTTCCCTATTCCAGTCATACACGTGGACCTAACTGCACCAGTAGCTTTTCTGAGAATACTTGCTGAAAAGGAAGTTTTCTGGAATGGGTAAGTGTATTCTGATTTTCTTGAACTTTTCTTAAAAACAAATTTTTCTTGCTATTAAAGTTGAATAAATAGGATTGGTTTCTTAGAGAGTAAAAGTAGGTGTTTCTTTCTTTAGACAATGTACCTTTTCTGAAAAACTAACTCATTAAGTACGGATTTGCTAATTTTAAGGTAGTAAAATTACAGTGTAAATATTCCTGTACATTTTTGGAAACTGGCTTATGCAGTTTACGAAATATAATTTTAGACCCTCTTTTAAGTTGGGTGATAAAGTAGATATAACCTGAGATGATAGATTTAAACAGGATATTTACGTTCTGCTACAATTGACTGATAACACTTGAAGTGTAGTCTGAACAGTAATTTTGTTAATCATTTCAACAAGTATTTGCTAAGTGGAAGCCAGAAGAGGAGGAAAATGTTTTGCCACGTGGATGTGAAGATTTCCTCTAAAAGGTACACATGGACTAAATTGCCTTTAAATGTTCCAAAATTAGTTCTCATTTATTTGCAGTCTCATTTTGTTTTGTTTTTTTTCTCTATGTGTCAATCCATTTGGGAGAGGCCAGCCATTGGAAGAGCCACCACTTCCAGTGCTAGTTGGATGGTTGGTTATGATTGCCTTCTGTAAAGAATTCTTAAGGCATAAATACGTGTCTAAATGGACCTCATATCTTTGAGATAATTAAACTAATTTTTTCTTCCCCATTAGGGATTATGCTGAATTTGTATGGTTTATAGTTGTTAGAGTTTGAGGTGTTAATTCTAATTATCTATTTCAAATTTAGCAGGAAAAAAGAGAACATCACCTTGTAAAACTGAAGATTGTGACCAGTCAGAATAATGTCAAAGTGCTTACAGTGCAGGTAGTGATATGTGCATCTACTGCAGTGAAGGCACTTGTAGCATTATGGTGACAGCTGCCTCGGGAAGCCAAGTTGGGCTTTAAAGTGCAGGGCCTGCTGATGTTGAGTGCTTTTTGTTCTAAGGTGCATCTAGTGCAGATAGTGAAGTAGATTAGCATCTACTGCCCTAAGTGCTCCTTCTGGCATAAGAAGTTATGTATTCATCCAATAATTCAAGCCAAGCAAGTATATAGGTGTTTTAATAGTTTTTGTTTGCAGTCCTCTGTTAGTTTTGCATAGTTGCACTACAAGAAGAATGTAGTTGTGCAAATCTATGCAAAACTGATGGTGGCCTGCTATTTCCTTCAAATGAATGATTTTTACTAATTTTGTGTACTTTTATTGTGTCGATGTAGAATCTGCCTGGTCTATCTGATGTGACAGCTTCTGTAGCACTAAAGTGCTTATAGTGCAGGTAGTGTTTAGTTATCTACTGCATTATGAGCACTTAAAGTACTGCTAGCTGTAGAACTCCAGCTTCGGCCTGTCGCCCAATCAAACTGTCCTGTTACTGAACACTGTTCTATGGTTAGTTTTGCAGGTTTGCATCCAGCTGTGTGATATTCTGCTGTGCAAATCCATGCAAAACTGACTGTGGTAGTGAAAAGTCTGTAGAAAAGTAAGGGAAACTCAAACCCCTTTCTACACAGGTTGGGATCGGTTGCAATGCTGTGTTTCTGTATGGTATTGCACTTGTCCCGGCCTGTTGAGTTTGGTGGGGATTGTGACCAGAAGATTTTGAAAATTAAATATTACTGAAGATTTCGACTTCCACTGTTAAATGTACAAGATACATGAAATATTAAAGAAAATGTGTAACTTTTTGTGTAAATACATCTTGTCTTGTTTTCATTCAAAAACATTTCACTTTTGGGGTTGCGTGTCAGATTTGGCAGTATAAATTCTGGCTATATTTTTTGTTGTTAGATTTATTTGGCTGTTAAGTATTGCGATATGACTAAACATACTGTATACCTGATGATCATCTGTAAAGTTAGAGTATATCTTTTTGCTTTCTTTGGAGTTAGTGTTATTCCAGGATATTTTACTTAATCTAAAAGTTAATTTATGTTGCTCATATATTACTCAAGTATTTAAATTTAGAGAGAATGCCGCTCTGTTTAAAGCAATGTGTAAAGATGAGTTTTTTTAAGCATGGAATTTAGGGTTGGGGTACAATTTGTTTCTATTAAGCAAGTACCAGTTTACCAATACATGAGTAACTGAAGTGTAACTGTTAAATGCTTGTATACTAGTTTTTCTTTCTGATTGTCAGTGATTTATAAGCTATAAATGACCAAGGTCCTCAGACTGCTTTTAGCATCTGCAACTTAAAAAAATGGGAGTTAGAAAAAGAACAAATGCTAAATAGAGTAACAGTTAAATGTATGTGTACACTCTTCCCAAATGCCAAGAGTGCAGCGGTGGGGTGAGATTCAGATATTCATTTATTTCTAAGTCTGTAGTTAACATTTATGTTCCCTACTCCCTACGTAAGCCAGACTTTGGCAACAGTGATAGTTGATTCCAGGCTTATTTGACTTAAAGTCACTGAAGTGGAAACTAAGAAGTGGCAGTTAGTGTTTTACCCAGCATTTCTGCCTTCTCTCTTTTCTTCATGTGTTTTTGTCTCTAGCCTATGTGTATTTGTGTAGAATAATGTGGGATACCTGAATAATAGATTTAAAAGGACCAAGTGGTAAAATTGGGCCCAAGCTGAAGTACAGGCAAACTTGATGTTTGAAAGATAAGTTTTGAGAAATGTCATTGTATTTTGGAGTAAAAGAGGCTATCTTAGTAATAAGAAATAAACTTCCATAACACTAGGTTAGACCACCCAATAAATCTAGAAATCAGCTTTTAAAAATATTGTCTGAAGTCTAACAAAAGTTTTCACCTCTAATGTGTTCTTTAAGAAATTTAAGGAACTTAGCCTTGGATTCCTGAATAGAAAGGTAAGAATTCTATCATTCTGGAGTTGATGAAAACATAAATTTTCAGGATGTGAAATGAACAGTGATTTATAAAATGGAAATCAAATTGTACATTAGCAGAGTTCTTAAGCTTTTTGAATTGAAGGAGACCTAATAATTGTGTCTTTTTGGTTATTTAGTGACAAACGTGGCTTTCAAACTATGCTTAAAAAGTTCCGGCTGGACACGGTGGCTCACACCTATAATCCTAGCACTTGGGGAGGCTGAGGCAGACGGATTACCTGAGGTCAGGAGTTCGAGACCAACCTGGCCGACATGGTGAAACGCTGTCTCTACTAAAAATATAAAAAATTAGCCGGGTGCAGTGGCGTGCACCTGTAATCCCAGCTACTCTGGAGGCTGAGGCAGGAGAATCACCTGAACCTGGGAGGTGGAGGTTTCAGTGAGCTGAGATCCTGCCACTGCACTCCAGCCTGGGCGCAAGACCAAGACTTAAACGCAAAAAAAAAAAAAAAAAAAAAAAAAAAGTTTCATAATACAGCATGGTCTGGTAGTTTGCAAAATGGTGTGCTTTTGGGGAGATACACTAGCAATTTTTTTAAAAACTGGAACAGTGTGATAGGAAGCCTGCTGGATGATTTCTTAAATATTCTAAAATGTAAGTCAAATATGTTTTAATAACAAAGACTTAAATGGCTTTTCTCCCTAGAGACTGAAACTAGTATTCATTGTGTTCAGAACTTAATTGGGCTTGAACTGAGATTTAAATCTAATAAACAAGTTAATAAATGTGTATGTTTTGTTGTGGGTTTGGTAGTGATCTGTGGTTCTATAGGGTTTAATAGGAATTGCTTTTGATTTGTTTCTGGCTTTAGAATGTGAGGCAAATTTTACATTCTTGGTTCTATTAAGATTTTCTTAGGCATGCTAACATGCCAACAAAAAGCCATGTAAGTATTGTATAAAAAGATTCACATTGTTAATTTAGCCATTTTGAAATTCAGATGAGTGAGCAAGTTGATAATGGCCTCATCTCTGACCTGAGAAAAAACAACTTTGACCCTTGTTCTTAAAATGCTTTAACCTTGAAGTTGCTTGAGACTTAAGAGGTCATGTTGCTTTAGGTTTAATAAATAGCCTTAACTATTTGGAGGGGAAAAAATGGGTCAACTTTTTTTTTTTTTTTTGGCGTTTGCATGTACAACTTTCTATTTTTAGCCTATATTTGGAAAGAAAGCACTTAACATTTTAGGAATTCTTTTTAAAGCTGCTTGCAAAGTGTTGGTGATTTTACTGAAAACTTTTGAGATCTTCATTTTACAGGCAGACCTGTCTAACTACAAGCCAGACTTGGGTTTTCTCCTGTAGTTTGAAGACACACTGACTCCTGACAAAATGCAGCCTGCAACTTCCTGGAGAACAACTCAGTGTCACATTAAAGTTTATTATGTATTTAATGATACACTGTTTAATTGACAGTTTTGCATAGTTTGTCTAACTTTAGAGAATTAAGAGCCTCTCAACTGAGCAGTAAAGGTAAGGAGAGCTCAATCTGCACAGAGCCAGTTTTTAGTGTTTGATGGAAATAAGATCATCATGCCCACTTGAGACTTCAGATTATTCTTTAGCTTAGTGGTTGTATGAGTTACATCTTATTAAAGTCGAAATTAATGTAGTTTTCTGCCTTGATAACATTTCATATGTGGTATTAGTTTTAAAGGGTCATTAGGAAAATGCACATATTCCATGAATTTTAAGACCCATAGAAAAGTTGAAGAATGCTTAATTTTCTTATCCAGTAATGTAAACACAGAGACAGAACATTGAGATGTGCCTAGTTCTGTATTTACAGTTTGGTCTGGCTGTTTGAGTTCTAGCGCATTTAATGTTAATAAATAAAATACTGCATTTTAAAGCTGTTAAGAAATTGTCCAGAACGAGAATATTGAAATAAAAACTTCAAGGTTATTATCGCAGTTTTTATGGCGTTTTTGTTTTGTCACTACAGATGGTCTAAAGGTTACTTATTAATTAATTGGGGAAGTGGAGACAAGGACCAAAGTTTATCTGGATTTTCTTATTTAATCTTCATTACCTGTGAAATATGTATTTGTATTCTTACTTTACATATGAGATCAGAAGTTCATTTTCAAGCAGAATGGAAAGGTGGTAAATGGACTCTGAATTAAAATATGTCAGTATTTTAAAAGGTTATCTTCTGCCTAGTATTTTTATGGAATCTGACAAGTTCTCAGATCACACTTGTTTCCTTAAATCTTGGTAAGTCTGAAGCATTCTTCATTTTGTTTATATTATACACGTTAGTAAGGTGGGAGTTCTTTTGTTTTTTGTGTTTTTTGGCCAGTTGATAACATGAAAGTTTAAGAGAGGAGGCCAAAGTATATAAAAAGTCTTAAACTCCTGCTTCTAATAAATGTCCAATATGTGTTGGCTCCTGGGTTGAGTGTTTATTAATGGGTCTGTACTAACTCTAAAACATTAAATAAGAATGGTATGTTCTGACCAGCCCTCAAAGTTCAGCCATTTCTAAAAGTTCAAAAAATCATTGTAAATATTTTTTAAATGAGGTACGAGATTGTACCTGTCTATGGCCAGTAACACAAGAAATCTAGGCTCATGCAGAGTTTTAGCATAGTTGACCCTCAGTATCAGTGGAGGGATTGGTAGGACCCTCAGTGCATACCAAATTCTTCAGGTGCTCAAGTCCCTTATGTAAAGTGGTGCAGTGTTTGCATGTAAA
Source organism: Homo sapiens (assembly GCF_000001405.40). Classification (NCBI taxonomy): domain Eukaryota; kingdom Metazoa; phylum Chordata; class Mammalia; order Primates; family Hominidae; genus Homo; species Homo sapiens. Next base: position 91,355,371 of record NC_000013.11, read on the forward strand.
TCTATACATGTCTTCTTGTATGCTTTAAGCTGTCTATATATTGCTTGAATAATCTGGTAAAATATCTTACATATTATTCATGTAGATTCAGTATAGTATTTGCGTGTGGCAAATTCAGGTTTGGCTTTTGGGGACTTCGTGAGATTTTTTTTCCTGAGTATTTTCAGTCTGTTTGTGGTTGGATGCAGGAACCACAGATACATAGGGCTAACTTAAGTAAGTGCCGACATAAATGCGTTAGTCATAGAGGTAAATAACAAAGACCTGAGTTTGGTAGTAAGTTCCCCGAAATGAAATGTTAGTATACTCCTAAGTGATTAGTAATTAGATCTCAGGTTGAATATACTAAATCCTTAATAACTGCATGTTTACTTTTAAGACCTAGATTTGTCAGTATATTAGTAGAGGTGAGCATGTACTAATTGTTCACACTTGTTTATAAAAGCATATATACTGTGAATTTTTAGTACGTTTAATGTTGACTTCAACTTACATAGACTGAAAAAGATTGAAAAAAAGCTTCGACGACATCAGTTCTGCACTTGTTGAGATGTACTGATCCAGATGGAATACCACACTGTTCAGCAGGTTGGGGTAACTAGATGAGACTAGTGAATGTTCCAAGAGTAGATGAAAATTGGGGTCCTGTAAGGTGGTGCTAGGAATTCTAAAGTGATTATGCATTTACCAAGAAAAGGTTCTTAACCAGTTGTCTTAAAATTATTAAGACGTAAAGACCTGGAATCTTAATCTAGCTGCACTATATTAGAGTCTTTGGGGCAGGATGCTGCGCAGACAAGTATTTTGAGAAATACCTGTTGATTTTGCTGTATATACTTAAGGATATATCTACTACCCTGAATTGTTGGAAATGCTGAGCCATAGGAATGCAGAAGAACATCAAAACACCTTAGAATTTATATGCAGGAAAGAGACCAGTAAACTATTTTTATGGTTCATGCAGTCATTACTCAGTTTTATAGCTGACTGACAAAATATGTGCCCCAACCCCACATTTATTTCTAAATCCACAGGCTTTTCCTTACTCTTCAATTTCAGTAACTTCCCTTTTTCTTCTCCAATGATACTTTGTTTTGGTAACAGCACCTAACAGGCCAGGTGTGTAGTTGTCTTTGTGCTATACCTGTATTTCCTTGGTTGGCTACTGTCACAGTGGCCACCATCATTCTGAACAAGTAAGGTGCACAAGGTACAAGCCATGTCTTTAGACATAGGTTATCGTCAGCATTTAGATTCTCCTCTAAGGCTTTCATCTAAAACTCCCTTGGTTTTGTGTTTAAAACTTAGTCCACAGTTTTCTAGTGTTACCCTCAGAATAATTGTCAAAATTGTACTTTCTAATACTCAAGATTGCATCTAAATTTCAAGTTAGAAAAGATGTTTATGCCATATTCTGAGTGTCTTGTGTTTATAACCTATGATTCTGCCCTTGACTGTACTTACGAATACTCCTTTTAAAATACGAAACTTGATTGAGACCCCAGCTCATTTACTGATGTCTTAATACAACTGCCTTTCCACTTAAGTGTTTTGGCTCCCCCAGTTCCTATCATTTATCCTCTCCAGGCAGACTTCCACTTCAGACTGCATTTGCTATTCCCTTAGTTTGGGAACTTCCCACTCCGGATACCTATGACTTAGTCTTGTTTCCTTGTAGTCCTTGTACACAGATGTCAGACTGGCTCTCCCTTAAACTGCATACTCTGTTCCTGTTCTCTGCATCATCATCCTGAATTAGTGGCATCACCTGGGATATTGGAAGTGCAGGTCCTTCCCACCCCCTTCCAAACCTGAATTGGGAGCTTCGTTTTTTAATCCCCCCAATTAATCTCTAAGATATAAGGCCTCCAAGGGCAAAGATTTGAAGATGTGTGGTTCATGGATGCTTATTCAACATCTAAAATGGTACCTGGTGTGTAGAAGGCACTGAATAGACTGAACAGGTAAGTGGAAATGCCCGTGGGTGAATGTTACTTCTAGGATGAGACGGTCTGAAAGAGAAAAGCAAAACAAGACTAGTATGGGGGCAAAGTGCATTATTGACGGTGTGGTAAAAAGTCATTAGAGCAACGTTGGTGGAGCAAGAAAACAGAGTAAGTAAAAAGGATTTGCTGTGTACAGTAATCCCAGCAAAAATGAAGGAAAGCCTAGAAGTGGGGGATCAAGAAAAAAACCAACTGATAGATGCTCCATTTGTGTGGATATGTAATGTTCATCTGTTGGAAGTAAATGTAAAACCCAGCTTCTAAATCTCAGAAAGCAACTGACAGCAGCAATAGGGTGAATGTGAAAGCACTGAACAAAGTAACAAAAGTGCTGAGAAGTTGTGCTTTGTGACAGATTAGTTTTCATGATGTTGCGTGGATGTGAGAAGGCTCTGCTAATAGGTATAGTCAGGTGTGTTTTTTTTTTCGGTTTGGTTTGTTCTCTGTATTACTTTGAAATTTAGACTATCAAGTACCAGAATACTATAGTTTTCTAACTCAGGTTCACTCCCTGCAGAAGGTTCAGGAGTACAAGAAGCCCTGCACTGAATCGTGGTGCCTCAATTAAATTTTGAGTTGTCCTTTTGGCTTCCTGAGACAAAACAACGTGTTAAACCAGTTACTTCGAGTGTGTGACATGAGAAGATGGATGATGATAAAGAGAAGTTGAGAAAGGCACCTCAGATTAATTTTAGGAAACAAATGTAAACTAAACTTGAATTCTATTCTCTTTGAGTCATGTAATACTTGGCTAATCGGTTGAGAAGCTTAAAGAACTATTTAAGAAGTCTTACAGTGTAATGTTTAGGACGGAGAATTCTGGGTTCAAGTACCAGTTTCCTCCATTAATAGCTTAGGCAACTTAAGTGTGTTGTCTTTCCCCAAAAATTGTAAGCTTAGGTAGGCTTTCCCATCTTGATCAAAAAGGTAGCTATCATGTTCACATCCAGCTGGAAAATAAACCTTTCCTCAACTTCAAAGTGAATTTTCAGCTCCACTCTGCCCACCTGAACTCGGTCTGAGGAACAAGATTACATTCAGGCTTGAGCTTTGTGTACCATCTCTGTTGACAGTACCACTGAAAGTCTGTTCCCTTCCTGAAGCACACAGGATACCTAGGCAGGTTGGTGGCATGGATAACTGAAAGATGAGAATACAATATTAACATTTGGGGGCACATAGATTTTAGTGAGGGTAGAGATGGAAGAGAGGAAGGGAGAGGATTTTCATTAAGTTGATAACTTGAGCACAAGTCTAAGGCAAACATTGTCAGGCCTCTGTTATTCAACCGCACTTGGCAAGGCTGATGCAGCTGCTGCTTATAGGTCTTGGCTAAAATATTACTTCCTCAAAGCCTTTTCTGACTGCCCTCCCCTATTCAGTTAATCTCTGCCATGTTTTATTCAAAGTACTTAACTACAATTTATAGTTATGTGTATTTGGATATTTTGTTATTTTGAATTCATTACATTACTGCTTTTAACAAATTGCCACAAACTTTTTTTGTTGTTTGAGACAGTCTTGCTCTGTCACCCAGGCTGGAGTTCAGTGACCCAATCAGCTCACTGCAACCTCTGCCTCCTGGGTTCAAGCGATTCTCCTGCCTCAGCCTCCCCAGTAGCTGGGATTACAGATATGCTTGCACCAGCACGCCTGGCTAATTTTTGTATTTTTAGTAGAGATGGGGTTTCACCATGTTGGCCAGGCTGGTCTCAAACTCCTGACCTTGTGATCTGCCCACCTCGGGCTCCCAAAGGCCGCAAACTTTTAATGGCTTGAAATCTTACAGTTCTGTAGGTCAGGAGTCTTGACACAGGTCCCACTAGGTTACAATTAAGGTGTCAGCAGGGCTGTATTAGTCCCTAGAGTCTTTAGGGGAGGCAAGGTTTTTTTTTTTTATCTTTTCAAGCTTCTGAAGACTCTGCCTTTGGCTCACGGTCTCTTACTCCATCTTCATATCTAGCAGCAGCAGGTGGCGTCTGCATCACACTGGACCCCTCTTACCTCCCTCTTTCACTTTTAAGGACCCTTGTGATTAATATTGAGCCCATCCAAATATTTAGAAATAATTTATTTTAAGGTCAGCTCATTGGCAGTCTTAATTCCCCTTGTAACATTTCACATTTGCAGGTTCTAGGATTAGGACTTGGATATTGTTGGAGGTCATTCTGCCTGTCTTAGGGAATTGTGTTGGTTTTGGACATGGTTATAGTTCCAGGCATACATAACTGCTTAGAGTTGTTTTCAGACAGCGTAAGTGAAATGAATGAGCTAAGGAAAATACTTAATCCAATAAAAAATAGAACATACTCGGGCTGTCTCAATGTTTTCCTACGGTATTTAAGTGCCAGTTTATGGAGGTTTTAAAGAAAAGATTTTCTCAGACGAGAAGAGCTTATAATATACTTCCTGCAAACATTCTAGAAAATGTAGGTCCTTATCAGTCAACCTTCAGAATGGGGAAACCACAAAATAAGTGAAATTTTGTTAACCTATCTAAGTAAACATTAAAGAGTTGCTTTTAGAAATGACACAATGTAAAGAGACCATCAGGGTCTAAAACCTCATTAGCCAGAACTGGAAAATGAGCTTTTAAATACAGGTAAAAAGTAAATAAGCAATTTATCCTCTACTTTGTTAGAGTACAGAAATAGTATTTCAAAGCAACCACTAGCAGAATAAAAGACTATACTTAACTTTGAAATCACCAGGAAAAAGGCTAGGAAAACAGCCCACAAAGCAAAAGACAAAAAGGAGGAGACAGAAATAAGAACATTTTTAATTAAAATTAAGCACAGAAAAATTTTAAGTAGTTTGTATTCAAGTCAGTTTTACTTAAATTTTATAACATGCAAGCCCTGGTTATTTTTAGTGATTGGAAATGTAGACAACTGGTGGTTTGCCCCTAGTCAATGGGAAGTCCTGGCCCTTGATACTCTGGCCCAGCAGTAAGAGCTTCTATTAAACCTCTGCTCCTTGAACAAGGAACAAATCTTACTTTGTATTCCCCAAAATGACTGCAAAGTAGGCATTCAATAGATAGCTGTTGAATGGATTGGAGATTTCTCCTAAACATCATGTTACAATTCAACTGTTCTTTGATGTACTGCAGTAGACATTTTCATGCCATTCTTAAATTTCTCAGTCTCCTGATGCCAAATTTTGTTTAGAGGTAGAGGCTGAAGGTTATGCTTGCTTTGGTGGAGAGTATAAAGACAATAGTATGTGTGTAGCGGGGAATGAGGCAGTGGATATAAAGAAAAGAAAAGGTTATTTGCACATCCATAAGTAATATGTAACGGTGGCAATGAATGGCTGGCTGGGGTGGGATAGTGGTTCTGGTCAGCTCCGGGAACTTTGTTGGTCGGTCATAGTGTGATAAAAGAGTTCAGAACAGATCTCAAATTAGGTTTTGTTTGTTTTTGTCTTTATAATTTAGGAAATTAGAAATGAGTCCTACCTCAGGACCGCAATCTGTCTTTTTCACTTTTTGGCTGTTATGTTCTTCACCAAATCACTCTTTGGGAAGTAAGCTGCAGAGTGAACTGATGGATGTCTATGAAAATAAACATGCATGACCCTGTAACAAAGCATGTGTGTCCTCAAGAAGATTGCAGGTGATTTTCAGATGAGTCTCATGTCTGCACAGTGAGAATTCATAAAATGAAGTGTTAACCAATACTCAGAAAGTGAGTTCAGAGGGGGAAATAACTGCTGCAGTACTGTGTGTGCTTGATACACATTATGACAGGTAGGTAATTAGAAGAGTCTTGTTACTGCATCTAGTTTAGCATACATAAATACAGTAATTAGGTTGTTTTTTTAAAAAAGCAATTTTGTCACAGAACGATCCTTAGTATGACGAATCCAATATTTAATATTTTTTCCACCCCAAAATGGAATGTACAGTTTAGTACCAAGTGAAACCATTCAGTCTTGGTTGATTGATATTACTATCAGAATAAATTATTGGTTTTTTTGTTTATATAGGAGTTGAGGCATTTCACTGCTGTAAAGTACTGTGCCTTCTTAAAATGATGATGGAATATTGGAATATCAAAGACCCTAAACACATTTTATTCATTTTAAAGACATGTAATCCTGCTGATATTTAAAGTCTAATATTTTAATCATAGGTCTGTCTCCAAAAGGATGTCATCTAAAAGCAATTTTCATATTTTGTATAGGGTTATTGCTTTGTATTGATTTGGTTTATAAAAAAGGGACAACAATCCATTTAGCAGTCATGTAATTCAATTTTAAATTATAGGTTTCTTAAAACACATCTGATTCTGGATAATGATAGGATCTAGGATATGGAAGTAGTGATGAGCCTTAAAATGAAAAAAGACTACTAATAAAGTGTTAAAGTTTGATAATTCAATGAGGTTACATTGCAGCAATTAAGCAGGCATGTTATATAATGCCTATTGTTGAGAATGAGTTAGCCATGACCTTTGCCCACTTTTAAAAAAATACAATGCTAAGCACAGAGCACATGCTACAAAGATGCTAAAGAAAATTATGAGATTAATGATTGGTTTTTACACATTAACCATGTTGTAACAGCCTAAGTGCTACTGACGCTGTTCTGTCTTAGACTCATCAAATAATTGGACCAAGTTTGAGGAAATCAATTTCTACTAAATAGTTAACCATAAGGTATATTTGTATTAGCAAACAAAATGCTTTCAAAATGTTCCACTTTTGAAACTGTTTGAGTCTTTTATGTTGACTCAATGACTTTGTTTACAAAGGGAAACTGAAGTGGAGTTAAGCAATTATCTGGCAAATTTGATCACTGTACACAATCACAGGGAATACAACAAATAATATTTTAGAAAAGTTGTTTGATGACATCACAGCTTCACTCCATAGATCTTTAGTAGTTTTGGGGTTTTTATTTTTTGAGGAATTGTTGGAATTGCAATAATGCATGTTTGCTTGCTTCCATTTTTTCCCCTCCCCCCCATATTTGTATCTCTAAATAATATGTACATGGTTAAGAATTTAGTAATTATTAACCCTATCTATTCTTACAACACTTTAAGAATTTGTAGACCTATCTAGGTAGTCAGAATACATTTTGAGTTTCAGTTGAATGTTTTACATTCATATGGAAAACTCAGGGGCAAAAGTAATTATTTTAAATAATGGCATACTTTGAAACAGTTGCTCAAGGCCAAGTTATTTTCTAGCAGATTTATTAAGTTACTGCCCCGTAAACTTAACTGCCTATTTATTGGTCTATATTCATAACAGTGTCTCTTATTTCCTAGTCACCTCAAATTAAAAGGAATTTGTAAGGTACTTATCTTGAAGCCATATTAGTTTGAGCATTAAATGTCTTTCAAATATTTTTTAATCTCATGAATCCATGCCCAAAGAACAGTAAGGATGTGTATGTAGCAATATATTTTTAAATATTACCTGAAGATTTTCCCCAGATACCTCCCTTTACCTCATGTCCTTTCTTCCATTTTTTCAGTTCTTATTCAGTCTCATAAAAGGAAGAAAAATAAGGAATTTGCTTGGCTTTTGGATTTCAACTGTTTCCCTTACTGGAAAATGAAAAACATGTGCATAAACAATACAGTAAATTTAAATGATTGCATAAGGATCTCTATATGCCTGAAAGTCATGCTTGAAAAGGCCTCCAGTTTGAACAAGAGACAACATAGCAGTGACATTCATGGCCTGATGTCCAAAGACCAGCATAGAAAAAAAAAAGCCATTACCCTTGCCCTGAATATGTGGGCTGAAATTCATTGTAACTGTGTACAGGAGATTAGAGACAGAAGGCAATAAGAAAGCACTGGAAGTGCTTGGTCCAGAATCATTTAATAGTGTATGGATTAGAAAAGGAGGTGGTAGTTAGATGGGATTAAGAAACCGTGTTTGTTGCTAACAAGAACCCTAAATTCTGCCACAATACAGTGAGAGGAGACCATGGTTTGATCCCTATTAACAGTAATAGTGGATACTGCTAAGAAAAACCCAGCTAATTATGCCGCCGCCTCCTCTGAATCACTGCTGTCCCTACTGGTTTAGTTCCTTAGCAGAAACAAAGTAGTAATAGACGAATAAATCTGCCCTGCTGCAGAAGTGCATTAGAGAACATGAAGGTAATTTTATTGGGTGAAAACCTGGAGAATGGTTTTTTTATAACCTTAAAAAATCTTATTGAGTGGCCTGAGTAATTTTGTTACGATTTACTCAGCCCTCCATCCTTCCTGTAGGACTTGTGAATGTCCTTGTTAACTATTTAAAGATGATAATGGTAGCTAACAATTTTGTCAAGCATTGAGTATTCATTTAATCCTAACTCCAGTCTGAGGTAATTGCTGTGATAATTATTCCCATTTTACAGATAAGGAAACTGAGGCAGAGAGAGATGTAGCGGACCAAGTTCACAAAGCTGATAAAACAGAGGAACCAGGATTTAAATCTAGGTAGTTTGGCTCTAGCACAAGTTCTCTTAACTGCTGTATTGCCTTTCAGTCCAGCTTATACATTTTGATAACTATGCTAACAAAATCCAAGGAAATAGCAACAAAATATTAACATTAGTTATCACTGAACAGAAAAATTTGGAGTTTTAGTATTTTGAGTTTATACCTTTCCCAAATGTTATAGAATAATCGCATTCCTGTTACGATCAGAAAAAAATACTTTAAAATGAGCATAATTTTTATGAAAACTAGGGAGAGAATTACATAAAATATTCTCACAAGAAAGACTGGGAGAAATACATGCAAAAAGGTCTGTTGCAGTGTTACCTGTGTAGTGAAATTTTCAGTCATTTTTTCTTCTGTACTTTATTTTTTGGTATTTGATTTTAAACCTGTAGTTTTTTTTTTAATGCTAAAAAATATACAATCATCTTTATATAATCACTGATTTCTGGAGAAATTATTTACCAAAATGATTCAGAAAACATGGAAACTGTTAAGTGAGTTACCAAAAAATATTTTAAGATGTAATTAAATGATTCTATCAAAGACATTAGGCCTAGAGAATCTGGGGTATTTAATTATTTTAAATTTCTGAAGTATGAGCCAATTCAAATGATGTTATATACTCTTGAAAAAGTAAAAACTTCCTAATGCATTTCCTTAAATTAGCATTAAAATCTGAGAAATAAGCAAAAATATAATGGTCATCTCACTTATTACAGATGCAAAAGAACTACATAAAAAATGCAAATAACAGAAATAATAGTAATAGTATATACTAAAATAGCTGTTGTCCCCACCGTGAGTTAACTCTGCTTTGCTAGTGTTAAGAAACTCAATTAAATAGAATGCAGAAATAATTGGCATAATTATTGCTAACATCCAAAAATATTGTCTTTGAAAACCCAAAGAATTATTAGAAAAATTAGTACTGATAGAGACCACAGTGAGGTAATTTAACACAAAAATTAAATGTAAAAACCAATGTTTTCCTTGATACTAACAAATATAAGTTGCTCAATAAAACAAAAAGACTGCAAAATATTAAGTTATAAAGCACCTAGAAGAAAATCTTGAGACATATGCAGAGTGAAAGGTAAAAAATTTATACTTCACTTTTTCATAAACTTTTAATGAAATTCAAAAAAGGTGCATAAATAGAGTTTATGCATTCTAGCCAGGTTTTTTTGTGTGTGTGAGAAAACAGTACTATGTCAGCCTTCCCATACTATGTTATTCTGCTAACATTGCTACAATAAAAAGTCAGTGGAATTTACTTTTGGTCTTGGAAAAAAATAATTCTAGTATCTCTCTGGAAGAACAAACAGGTGAGAAGATGAGTAGATGTTAAATAACATAAGGACTAGACTAGCTATTGAATGTTTTCTGAAGCTACACTAATAAAATGGAATGCCCTGGCAATAATCAAGATAAATCAATGGGACAAAATGAATAGGCCTCAAACAGCCATCATTGTATATTGAGCCCCAAAATAATTTAAAAATACCAGAACCAAAATTAAAATACACTAACGAAAATGTGAAGTAAATGTGAGAAGTAGCATTATTAATTTTAATACATAAAGCCATCATAATAAAAATCAACGTTCTCTTAAGTGAACAGGCAAAACAGGTGTGGATATACAAGGAAAATGAAACACAGATGGCAGATACAGAGTGCGTTGGTTGAAAATGGCAGAATTAGTGTCAGATAAAATGTTGAGGCATACTTATATGACCAGATACCTAGCGGTTATTACTCGTTGGTAGAGGGAACATGTTTTGAAAATTCTTCAATATATACTACTACATTTTCTATATGTTTTTGTGGCAGAGACTGCTGTCAATATCCACGTCTCCCATTCTTCATTTAGGAACAGGATCAACAAAGGTTTACCTGGGCACAGGGCTATCCAGCTAGACTACAGGTTCCTTTGCAGTAGAGTGGCTATGTGACTTGTTGCTAAAGCGAATTTTAAAAAAGTGATTAGGGATGTGTGCGGTGTGGCTCATGCCTGTAATCCCAGCACTTGGGGAGGCCGATGTGGGAGGACTGGCTTGAGCTCAGGAGTTTGAGACCAGCATGGGCAACATGGCAAGACTCCATCTCTACAAAAAATAGTTAGCTAAGTGTGGTGGTGTGTGCCTGTGGCCCCAGCTGCTTGGGAGGCTGAGGTGGGAGGATTGCTTGAGCCTGGGGAGGTTGAACCTGGAGTGAGCCCTGTTCATGCCACTGCACTCCAGCATGGGTGACAGAGCAAGACCCTCTCTCAAAAAAAAAAAAAAAAAAAGTGCAACTTCCAGGTCACTTCATTTGAAGTAATGTTCTTGTCTTCCTCGATTTCTTTTTCACTGTTTTTTGAAATATGGACCTGGTGCTAGGGAGTTGGCTTTAACTATGCAGAGGAGCAGAGAGGAACTTGGGAGGAACTTGGGAGGTTGGGAGAACAACAGGGTGAAAGGAACCTTGATTCCTAGATGACCTTTTGGAGCAGAGCCTCCTACCTTAAATAAGTTTGCCTTGATAATCAAATCTGAGTCAAATACCTACATGCAAGTAGTTTAGAACTTATCACAGGAGCAGGAATAAGGGAGAAGGAATGTGAAATAGGAAGAGTTATCAAGTTACAGTCACTGCTATAGTTGTCTGGTGTTCCATCCAATGAAACCCTCTGACAACCCTTATAGGTAGCCAGAACTACCTAGGGCTGAAAAGGGGATATCATTTTTTCCATTGGTTCTCATCTCCCTACTGGTGAAAATGGTTCCCCGGTGCTAACTACCCCACACTTTGGATTGCACACATACATTTGTATCTTTTGAGTTTCCTTGAGCAGAGAGATACACAGCACAAATCGAAGGTTAGGCATTGTCTGGGTGCACTGTAAAGCCTGGTCATTTTGTCTAGAACGCGTTGCCTAAGAAGGGGCTGGAATAAGGGGTGTGATCATGGAGATTTAAAATGGTGCACAATGGTGTTTAACACAGCGCACTTTCTGCTTCCACCACTCAGATCTGCTCGTATCCTGCATTCATTCACAGAGTTCCCTTCGAGTTGTGGCTGGCCACAATCTTGGCAAGCGCTTAATATTAAGAAGCGCATAATATTAATATTATGTTCCTATTACTGCAGCTAATCCTACCTCTGTCACTAACATTCAACATTTCCTTCCTCTGCCATGTTTTTAAAATCTCTAGATCTCCCTATCTCTCAGCTAGCATCTCAGCTGATCTTGGTTGCTTGCTTGATGGAATCATCGAGGCCCTCATCCCTGAGAGACCCCTTACTTGCCATATCCTACTTGGCCTGCAGTTGCTATGATTGCCCATTTGTCCTGATCAGTGGGCATAAAGGCACAAAGTAACAGCCTTGTGAATCCCCTGCACTCAATATATTCTCTTCACTCTCCTCGTTGTACACCAGCTACCATAGCTCGTGGTGATCAGAATTACATTCAGCATTACAATAACTTTCTTTTTTGGCCAATTTGTTCCCAGCATTAAGGAGCCAGGTTACTAGGTGGTAACTGTACCATCAAGTTCACTGTAACCCTTGTGTCCTGATAGAAGCATTTCTCATCCCACCCCACTTCCAGACCAGGACCTCAAATATGGCTGACATAAAGTTTCAAAGTCAAAAGCGCGAATTCTGCAAATGGGTCACAGGGAGTAATGGTTTGAGGGGTCAGTCCTACTTTCACCCTTTGATAAAATCTTGCTTTCACCTCATGTTCTGAGGATTTCTTGGTGAAATCCTACTTTCACCTCATGTTCTGAGCAACGTGTATTCTAGTTTCAGAGTTACAGCACCATATATTAGCCATTGATTTAGCACACATGCCTCATGTTGGAGTATCCCAACCCATCAAGGGTTGTGCCTTGAGCTGGAACTTATCTGGGCCTTAAACAGGTTATTATGTTTATTTTTACCATCATGATTAGATTTCTCAGTGAGGTGTAGTATTTAAGACCATTGGACAATGTATCAGTGGTCCTAACTTCTTTGCTGTAAAGTAAGTCTCTTGGTTTGAGTGATGGATGAGGTATGATGCTGAATCTGATGTTCTGTAAGACTTGACATGGTGAAACTGTGGGCAGAGACAGCAAACTCCTATCTAAGGAAGGTGTCTGCTTGAGGACATATTGTTGCTCCGTTAAGAGTTAAAGTCTGAGTCAAGGCAATCAGCTTGTCTCCCAAGTGGTTGGCTAGTCTCTTGGTATATCAAAGGGGACCAGTACACCTCCTGGAGGCAGTCTGCCTACATCTAGACTATTATGTGAGAGAAATACACACTTACTTATTGTTTGAATCGCTGTTATTTATTATAGTGTATAACAAACTAATGCAGACATTATTACCTGAAATGAGGTGCTGCTGTAACATAAACTTACAATATGAGGTAATGACTGATTGATTGGAAAGTAGTTAGTAAAGAAACAGATGTGGCAGGTTTGACAGTGATTGTCAGATAAGAATTAGTCACTTTGCAAGCAGAAGTGAAAGGGAATATAGTTAAAATGGAGGCTTTCTTATATATAGTATAAATTCATATTTTTCTAATTTGACAGTATTAGGGGCTTTCAGGTTTGGCAAAGCCAACTTTTTCTGTTTCTCCCAAACCACAGGAGACAACATTGTCCCTCAGGCAAAAGCCTCCTATATATGTTCCCAGCCAGAAAGTGGGAGCCAGCCCTACAACAATAGACTGAGGGCATTCCATTCTCACCTAAGTCTTTTTTTAGGTGGCCTTGAGGTAGCCACTCTAAATTAAGGGAGAGCTGGGTATACTGAATGTAACAACCAGAAAATAGAGTCTGAAAGCTTAAGAACTGTAACAACATGTGATCTTTGACTGAAGCCTCTTTAACATGGACATGAGTGGAAACAAGGAGACGAGGAGCCTACTAAATTTGGGGGAACATTGTTTGCCAAGGAAATCACAAACATGGTGCCTGACCCAGCAATCTCCAACTGGAAACTGTACCAGCAGAAAGCATACTGCAAAAGCCATGCAGTCACCAACAGGGTAACTCCCAACCACTCACTTCAGATGTGTGCCACTTACCATCTTATGCCTCCCCACTCTAATAAATTCATCTTTTATGGCCTGCACTGCAGAAATGGAGGTTACCCTTTAAATATTTTTCTCCTGCCAGTTGGTACAGTGTTAAACTCTGTCAACAGAAGGTGCTGGAAAGAGATTGCAGAAGGAAAGGGTTTTCTTTCCAGCTTTGGTGTGCTCAACTGGCAGGCTCTTTTAGCACGTGTGGCTTCTCCATTGCTTGGTTCCTACGGAGTATGGCAATCAGCAGCACTGAGAGGCAGCAGCTTCCTCAGGCAGGTTCATAGTGATGTTCCTATAGCAAGACACCACCTCATGAACAGCTATTTTTAGCACCCTAGAGGGTGGATTTCTGGTAAATTTCACTGAGTCAACCCTGCAGTGGCTTCTCTGACATTCAATGAGCCATGGTCTCTCCACTGAGGTCTACATTTCAGTCCCTGGGGGCTTCTTCCTTGGAGTTCTATCTCAGCCCTAAGGATAGTGACTGCTCCTTATATAAACAATTCCTATTATTTAGTTCTCTTTTATTCTTATTAGCCAAATTCTCGTGATTACAAATCCCTGTTATAGTTAGTAATTTATAGTAAACTTTCCTTGTTCAAATTACTCTGTGGTTTCTCTTCTGATTCGACCCAGACTGATATAAGGTGACACCACAGTAGAAAATGGATAATGGGCAAAAATGACTCACAAGGGGTAAACCCACTGGCCATGGGGGTGGGGCACAGTAGATAAAGGAGTTCCTTCCAGAGATCAGAACCAGAGCCTAACCAAGGAATTTACTGTATTCTTGGGAAGGAAGCCTTTTGAATTCCTGCCAAACAATGTCATAGTGATTACTATGTTTCCTAGTCTTTCTTTCCAGAATTGTAGTGTTTATTCCGTTTCTTTATCCTACTCCACCATTTTGCATTGAGATATATGGGATTGTAAGTAACTTGTATATTAGATAATAAACCACTAATTTCTGAAGAGCTAGTTTTAGATCAGGTGGAGAGAAATAAAGATCTCAGATTTTGATCTGGGAACAATAACTGGATAAGCTTTAATTGCATTTTTAGGAGAGAACCTGCTGTGTTCTTTGTATGGGAAGATGGTGCATGTGGATCCTTGGCAGCTCAAGGCCAAAGGCAGAGACTTCTAGTCTTTCTCTAATATACTTTCCCTGTTTTCCTTTAATAGTAAAGCTTCTCAAGTTCTTGCTGAGTGTTTGCCCAGCAAGACACTATAGTTTCCAAGTTTTCTATGTGGATATGTAACGCTGGGTTCTTGACAATGCAATGTAAGGGGAACTGATATATGCAATATCCCAGTCTTGCTCCCTGCTCTCTTTTTTCTCCTTTCCTTAGTTTTGGGTAGACACAGTGCTGGTGAGCCAGTTTTTAATATGTAGTCAAGAGGAAGCTCTTGAGGGGTTCAAAGAGCCCCACATAGAAAACCTGGGTTCCTTACTGTACCCTTGGGAAGCAGAGTCTCCTGCTTGCCCTGAATCCCCTGCCTTCCTCTGGACCGATATGTGAGAGAATAAAATTCTTTTTTTTTTTTTTTCCTTCGAGCTATTGTATTCTTGGTCTTTTTGTTATATCAGCTTAACCTGTTCCCTAACTAAAACAGTCTTCTTTCTCATATTCCTTTCAAATTAAGTATTTTATTTATGACGTGCAACTTTTACAGGATTTCTTTCCCTTGAGCCTCCTCCTCCCATTTTTTTGCAGAGAGAAGAGTTTGCAGAAATCTTTGGCTTCATCTCATTACTCTTTACTGTCATTGCCTGCAGGCAGAGCCCATAATGTAAATGTAAAATTGTGTTTTGCATAAGTTCCCTTGAGTATGTAATTATAATGCATTCCAGGGTGCGCCTAAATAAGAAGACTCTGCTTCTTCTCCATCCTAAGATTGCTTTTGGTGTCAATCACATGGTAAGATATAGACAGAGGCAATAGCAGTAGTAACTAACACTGAATGAGGCAGAGTACAGAATAAAACATTATCCATTTTCATTGCTGATGATCTGGGGAGGATTCACATAATATAGAGGCCCTAAGGGTGGAGTGGGAAAATTCTAATATAATTTGGAGGTGTGCAAAATATTTCATAATGAAATAGCATTTTTGTTCATCTTCAAAAGCACTGTGACTTAGTTCTGTTTTATACTGAACACAGACAATTTACACATCAGTATTTTCTGTTATATCACAAATACTGAACAAAGTGTCAGATACTAGTTTCGATTATTATGTAACCACTAACAACTAACTGTATAACACATATAAAAATCCTTTATATAAATATGCTAAAACCATTTTTAATATAAACATCTATATACTAAAATTTTAAAATATGCATACAAAAGCAGTGATTATAAAAGTGATTGTTGATCAACTATTTTATTGACCCAATTAAAAAATATGTATTTCAAAACTATTATATGAAGCAAAGGTTGAAAATAGATTATCTTAATTGTATTTTAAAACACATATCACAAGATGTGGAGAAATTTGGATTTAGAACCTTTATATAGGAGAAAGTAGTTTGTGAATAATTTAGAAAAATTATTTGCACAACTAAAATAAATAACTTTAAATTCTAAAATAAATACATTTAATTGCTGACATTAACTTAATGCCTTCTGTAAACATATTTTAGAAAAGTAAAGGGTTATAATTGATACTAGAATTGGGAATCAAATTAAGGAAAAAATTAGAAATAAAACATTTTAAATGTTTAATTAATTTAAACCACTTCGACAATTTTTGCCATATCCATTTAACACCTAAAATAATCATTTTATTATATTTCATTTCATTTTTACTTAAATATATTTGATTTTTTAGAAAATAGCATCATGGCTTTACTTGACATAAATACTTTACTCAACACATATCATTTTCTTTAAATAGAAAGGACAGACACATTTATATACATTCAAATAAATACCTACTTAAGTAAAAATGTTCTTAGATGTGCTATCTATAAAATCATCTCACATGGCCCACATACCACACTTTGATTCATGATTGAGATGGCATTGCAGTATATAAAATCTTCTAGTATTCAGGGCATCAATAAATTTAAAATCTATACTTAAAGTCTCATTGCAGCAAAAGTGTGTTCATGCCCTACTCAGTCCATCAGTCAGTGCTAACAATAAGTATGTAATAGATAGGTCTCTTTTTCATCATTTTCAGATACTAACACTCTAGAGCAAACCAATACAACTCATACTGTGTACAGAAGTATGCTGTTATTCATAAGGTTAACTTCACTCCCTAAATAAATGCTCAGAAATCACATTTATCATAGTTAAAGAGATAAAGGCAAATGGTAAGGGCTACCAATAAACTCCATCTCTAAAATTGAATATGTTCAGTAGCAATTATGTTATTAAAAATGCTTTTTTATGCCCAACTTTTCAGGAATGTTATATTTGCCCAACACAATTTAATAATATACTTTACAATTATCTTTGTGAGAAAATAATTATCAGCATGGTCTTTAACACATTTTTTAGGTTTTTGTGATTATGTTTGTGCTTTTCAGGTATTTGTAAATTGCATTTGCACACAGAATTCTCAAAAATTCAAATCCATTTGTTGGTCAGTAAGTACAACAATAAGAATGCCAGCTTATTCCACAAAATATAGTTTACCATTTTATTTGACTATTACACATCTTAGGGAAGTGATTTGGATTTAGAGAGAAAATATTGAGGTAGGGTTTTTCTATCATACAATGTCTTGGATTACCATCTGCTTACAAACATGATTATGGACCCAAATGCTGAGAGGAACTGAGCTTCAAACTCATAGAATTCTTGGAGTTTTGCCCAGATCAAATGTGCTTGATGAGTTTGGACACTATACATGCTTTTAACATACTAAAGCTGAATGATAAAACCTCAGTACTCCGTAAATCTGAATACTTTGTGAACCCACAGGAGTTGTTCAGGGTACGGTATGACTTCTATTGGACAATCTGTGCCCAAAAACTCCTCTATGTTCTGTCAACCCATGCTTTCCCAGTGCACTGAAAGGGATTTGTTTGGCCACATTTGGAGGTGTATTCATTTTCTACTGCTAGGTAATGGATGACTACAAATTGAGCAACATGTAACAACATCCATTTAGCTCAGTTCTGTGGGTCAGAAGTCCAGGCAATTCAAGGCTGGATTCTGCTCAGGTTAACATCAGGGTGTCAGCCAGCTGCGTTTTCACATGGAGTTGAGTGTTCTTTTCCTAATTCGTTGTTGTCACTGGGATAATTTAGGTCTTTGCAGTTGTGGCATCAAAATCCCTGTTTCCCTGCTGGCTATCAGCTGGGACCAGCTCTAAGCTCCTAGAGACTACTCTCACTTCCTTACCAAGAGGTCCCTTCCGTCTCAGCAACTAAAATGCCCTTTGAATCTCTCCAACTTCCCCTGCTATGACCAGCCAGAGAAAACTATGTTTTAAAGGGTCATTTGATGAGGTCTCAACCTCCAAGAGGATGTCTCCATCTCAGGGTTAATGGTATCATTTAACCTAACCTAATCATGTAAAAGACATCAAATTTACAGTTCTGAGGATTATGTAGTGTGAGTACACCTGGGACAGGGAATACTGGGGGACATCTTAGAGTCCTGACTATGACAGAGACCTGTTATTTTCACTTTCAGCTTTTCACATTTCTTTGGTTCTGTCTTCACATTCAACCTTTCGTTTTTCTATATTTTTTCCCCAAAAGAAACTCAGAAAAACTCCAATTGTCACAAAATTAGTCTACATGTAAGAGTGTAAAGGAATACACATATACATAAAAGATGCGTGTTTCTGAGCCTGCAAACATGTTTCAAGGTGATACCAAATAAACTTTGATGCTATTCATCTGGCTCATTGCATACATGGCTTCAACAAAATCATCACTTTATGAAGAAGCATTTTTGTGACATGAGAATAGCTGACTATAGTTATAATAATGAGGATATTATGAATTCAATGAAATTTCTTCCTAATAACAGGCCTGCTGTGTAAGCAAGTAACAGGTTTATTTCAATGCTAATATTTATTTATTTGTAGATGTTCTTTCTACAAATTAAATTTTTTGGGTTCTATGAGAGTAGTATGCAAATAGTGAAAAACTGAAATAATTATTGGTGATTCGCTTGTGTCCACCTATCCTGAAATGCCTTAACTCCCCTTCCTTACCTTAGTACCAATTGGATTCTTATAGTAACTAACTCTGAGCCAAAAGCTTTGATTTATCAAAGCATCGATGAAAAAAATACTTATCAAGAACATAAATAAGGACTTTGGAGGAGCTCACTAAACACCCAGAAATTTATTACCAAATTCCAAATGGCTAATTTTAAACCAGGATAAAGACCAATGAGTGAAAATAAGATATGCAGTGACATAGTGTATTTTAGTGGGAAGAATAATAAAAAGACCTCTGGATAAGCTATTTTATTAACTTATCTGAATCTCAGTTGTTTTTCACTATAAGAGCAGGGTCATGTCCCAACTTCATTGAGTTGTGAGAATTATTTATTAAATGTGTATAGTTTGTAATGTGTTCAGTAAATACCTGTCTTGTCTGAAAGTGAATAAATTAATACATTCTTAACTTACTTTAAAATGGGAGAAGCCACAGTTTAAAAGGAAAGAGAACGTGACATAGACTTAGTTTGATTTTTAAAAATTTGTAGATTCAGCTACAAATACACAAAAACTGCAACAGAGATAGGATAACTAAAATAATACTGGAATACTTAAATAACACTAGAGTAACTTTATGGTTTTGAAACAGAGGGCATTTAACCATGGACTTAGTTTAGGTGGTGGAATAGTTGAGAGAAGTCAGATGGGATGGTATGTCAACCCAGAAATTAGCAACAGCGGGGGGTGGGGCACCATCTCCCTACAATGGAGGAAGAAAGGGAGAATGGAGAATGGAGTGTTCCTGAAACCCAGGTGATAGGGTCATGAAGGAAATGCAGCTACTGGCCAGAGATTCTACCCAAGGCAGAGGGAGGAGTACCCTCGCTCCTTGCTTCCAACAAAAGGTAGATGACATAGGATCCTGATGAAGAGACCACCAAATTTAGAAGAGCAAAAAGGCAACGAGCATTTCTGAGGGCAAACAGGCCATGAACCAGCATTTTAATTGGTGGAACTAAGAGAAAACTAATGGACCAGCAATTCAGATTTTAGGTAATACTGTATTGATTAATTTCTTCCACTTGTCTTAAGTCCATTCTCAGAGCTTCAGAACCACCAACAACAAAAAGAGAGCTGTCAAAGATGGAGACTTATTCCCTAAACTCCTCTCTAACAAGGCTGTAGTGGGGTAGAGGGTGGCGGGGAGTTTGGGGAAGTATAACTGGTGGCCCAAGTTTGGCAGGCTGAGGAACAGTGATCAGAAATATGGGCCTTGCTCTTCCTGGCCACAGGGTGGTGGTATAAGGTATGAAACCACTATTGTCTTACTTTCACTTTTTTCAAATACTGGTTAATTTTGCCTGTCTTCATCACTGCATGTTTGGTATTTTGGAAGGTAGAAGAGTATGTTTTCCAAAGGTGATCACAATAATCTATATCCCATCCTTTGTGCTCTTATTATGGTGCAATGTTGACACTTGTCCATCAGTAGGTGTACAGGTCTATATTTTCTCTTTGAATCTGGGTAGGTCAGTGGCCATGGAAAAGGTGACACTGTGTGACTTTTGAGATAAAAGGGATGAGGCTTCTGCTTGATTCTCTTAAGGTGGAACCAAGCCACCATGCGCTGAGGAAGCTAAGTATCCACATGAAGAACCCGTGTGCTAGGATTCTGGTCATGACCGCAGCAGAGGTCCTACTGAGAGTCAGCATCAACTAAATGTTAATAACTGAGCCTTCAGATGATGCCAGCCATCAGTTTTCAAGCTGTTTCAGCTAACTCCAACAGGAGCATGGATAACGTGTCCCCACCAAGCCCTGCCCAAATTGCACATTTATGAACAGAATGAATGTCATTGATTTAAGTCACTAGTTTTAGAGTAGCCTGTGACTCAACAATAGATAACCAGAACACAGGAGGGTTAAACTTACAATTTAGTCAACCTTTGCCACACATGACAAGTCACATGCTCATCAGAATAAGAAAAATGTGCTTCTCTAGAGATCCTGGACATACAGTTTTACAGAGTAGCTGGATTTGATTTTGTGTTGCTGGCCTCTGGGGAAGTGTAAGCACATTTTCAGTTATAAGTGGGATAATGGTATTTACTATATTAGGAAGAGGAAATGTGGGAATTGTTTGTGCGTGTCTAAAATGATGCTAAAACTGGATCTTTCCTGTCTCCGTTCTGACAGAGCCATCAGTGATCAATATCAGGATATCTTAATGAGAGCAGATGATCCCAACTTCATGTTCATGCATTCAACATGGAGTGCCTATTACATGACACTTGTTAGTCCATGTGCTGAGGATGGAGCAATAAACAAACCTGTTTAAGCTTTCTGCCCTCATGAAGCTGACATATGCAGAATTAGAAAGAAAAGGGCTCTACTGAGTAAAATTGGTTAAGTGATTTTACTGGACAGAGTTGTTATTATGTATATTGGCCAGAAGAGGCCAGGTAACAAATATGCACAGACGGTACAGAAGTGGGACATGTGTAGGATGTCATGGATCTTGTCTAATAAGAGCCAAGAAACCTCAGCAGAAAAAAACGAAGATAGCAGCCAGGTGCAGTGGTTTACACCTGGGATCCAGTGCGTTGGGAGGCCAAGGCAGGAGGATTGCTTGAGGCTAGGAGTTCAAGGCCTGCCTGGGCAACACAGCAAGTCCCTCTTTCTACAAAAAAAGAAAAAGAATGAAGATGAACACATATAGGCCTAAAGTTATTGAAACTGGCAGAAGACAATGTGAAATAGACATCTGCCTGAACAGGGCACTGTAGGAGACAGTCTGTCATGGACTCCCTGAAGAGAAAAAGGGTGAAGGCAGAGAGCTGAGGGACACACCCTCTTTCCTCCCACTTCTCCTCACCTTGGCTTCCCTATGGCATACCTCCGGAGAGAGAGGCTCCAAGCTTAGGATAAAAGAACTTTTGATGATAAATCAAGTTTGAAATTGTGTTTAATATTTTATACTGGACATTCCAATTTTTAAGTCAAAACTGTGTTTACCATTAACTGAAGAACTTTTTATTTTCTGAGTAACCACAAAAATCATGGGCCTGCCCAAGTATTCTTTCAGGATAAGGGAAGAAAACCTAAACTGATTACATTTAAACCAGGGTACAAGATGCAACTTAATCTTCCCTGTGATCACAGTCCTTGTGTTGTGCTTGCTTTGGGAGGCCAAGGCGGGCGGATCAGTAGATCAGGAGATCGAGACCATCCTGGCTAACATGGTGAAACCCCATCTCTACTAAAAATACAAAAAAATTAGCTGGGCGTGGTGGCGGGCGCCTGTAGTCCCAGGTATTCGGGAGGCTGAGGCAGGAGAATGGCGTGAACCCGGGAGGTGGAGCTTGCAGTGAGCCGAGATTGCACCACTGCACTCCAGCCTGGGAGACAAAGCGAGACTCCGTCTCAAAAAAAAAAAAAGGGTGTGTTTTTCCTAGGTAGACTGTGGATACATCTGTACTTTTCCTACTTGATTTCTGGTAAGAGAACTCCATTTAAATGTGGGGAATGAGTGAGACAGACAGAGATCATCCCAATCATCTCTGGTCATGACAGTGGATATCTGACCAGTCTGAGTGAGAATGATGGGTAGTGGCATAAGCATTTGACACAAGAATTCATGAGACTCTGCTTCCACAACTGTTGGGGAAGTGTTAGGTCTTTCAGTTGAGGTTCCTGAGCTGTGAGTGGTCATGTTTTCCACAATGTGGAGATGGCAGAGGAGTTTACATGTAGAAAAAACCAGAGTCAAGCAGACCAATAGTGAGCCTCAACATGGACAAAACCAGGAGCAGACTGCACTATTAATATGTTTTCATCCTGTTGTAAGTTGGAAAAATAACAATAACTAAAATTAATTTAAATTTAAAATATGCAAATATTATAATTTGATTATGCTTAAGTACATACACATGACTGAATTCAACTAAACTATTTTAATAAAATTTAATGACTGTTTGTAGAATGACAATTTCAAATAAGGTACTTGGAAAGACAATATAATACTTTTTTTGTTATCGTTCCTATTAGTTTTTTTTTTTAAGAAAAGGGGTTAAATTGGCTCACGGTTTTGCAGGCTTTACAGAAATCATGGCACCAACATCTGCTCCACTTCTGGGGAGGCCTCAGGAAGCTTACATCACAGTGGAAGGCAAAGGGTGAGACTATTAGCAGAAAGTTTTGATATTTATATAAATATAAAAGGATGTTCAATTTGTTTGAGATATATGGCAAATCTCCTTGAGATACCAAAATGGTAAACAGGTACTCAATCATTTTGGAATGGTTGATAATTTTACTTAGCTAAATATAAAATTGTCAACTTTCAGAACAAATATTATTTTTGAATACGATCTATGCTTCTGGTTTGTGAATAGTAGTGTTCAATGAATAATTATACTCCCTATAGTAAATGCTTTTACTATTGTCTCTAGAATATTGATTCCTCCATAAGAAATATCTTAAATTCCTTCTTAGTGATTAAATTAGTATGATTCATGTTACTTATGTACTAAAGCATAATATTTTAGAAAATTGGTATACTACTATCAATTTTTACTATACAGACTTTGCAATAAAGAAGTAGTGACAAATAGCAAACTTCTGAGGGCCACATTTATTCTTCTAATATCAATAATAGTATCTCTTGAGAATCACCTTCTTGAATTTTGGTTTAAATATTATGTTTTCAAATTTACATCATGCCACTACAAGAAATCGCTGCTTGAAAACTTGCTTTTGCAGTTGTCTTAAGAATTTTGTAATACGTTGTCTTTCCTGCAACTTAATATACTACTTGAGGCAAGTACTGAGAAAAGAAAAGGAAAGAGAGGAAGGAAGGAAGAGAAGGGGGAAAGATAAGAGAGAGGGATGGAGGAAGAAAGGGAGAGAGGTAAAGAAGTGAAAGAAGGAGAAAGAAAGAAAAGAGAGAACATTGTATTTGAGGAAGTAGTAGCCTTCCTCCTTTCTGAAAATGAACCAATGCCTATTTACTTGCCTGTCTCCTCAGTGGGTCTAGGAATTCTTTGACGGCAGAGAGTGTATCTTTTTCACTTGCATTTTTCTGATGTGGAGCGTAGAAGCTTTCCATGGTAGACGTTCAAGAACATTTGGTAAATAAATGAATGAACAAGTCATGTTTCTTTTTTTGCCCTGGCAAAAAGGTGGACACTTTGCCTTCCTCTTCCTTCTGGGACACTGATTTTCCATTTGGACTTTTTCAACCTATTGGTTATGTTTAATATGGTGGAAATTACACAGGCACTGAAGCCAGATTGCCTGTGTTGAGATCCTGACTCCATTTAAGGATAATCATTCAGTATTATTTTTGTCATTTTACCATTGCTCAACATTCCTTCTAGATAGTCAAACTCTTGTACTCGTTATCCAACAGGCAAATCAAATTTCTGTTTTTCTACTCTCATTTTGTTCCCATTTCTTGGAATGTCTTTCTGTTTCTCTTGTATTTATCCAAGTTATATATTATATATATTCATATTATATGTATGTGTGTGTGTGTATATATATATATGTGTGTATATATGTGTGTGTATATATATGTATATATATATGTGTGTGTATATATATATGTGTGTGTGTGTGTATGTATATATATATATATATATATATATATATATATATATATATATATATACATACTTCAGAGCCCTCACAGGCCTATCCCCTCTAGTACAAAACTTCCCTGCTACATTGCTACATCAAGGGTTCTTCGAACTGGTTGGCACTAATTACAAAGTTTAACACCTGCACTTTTTCTGTAATTTTCATTTGGGTGCTATAGGTGTCAGTGTTGTCTCTACAACTAGTCTAATTTTCATTAGGGTAGAAATCAAATCTCTACTCCTCTGTATGACACAAGAAGCCTGGGCTCTCTATTCCACCTGTAAAGTCTACTTCAATACTTTATTGTTTTTCCATTTGAAATTGTATTGATGGGTAACTTGTTATACATTGCAAAACTTTCACAAGTATTGGTTACCTATAAGCTAATTTTTTTATAAGAATAGTTGTTACTGCAAAATGACACCGTAAGTTAAAAATTTTAAAACAAGATGTTTCAAATGACACATTTAAAATATATTAAATCAGAAGACCATCTTTGAGATGGCATCCAGTTTTAAACATACTAAGTACTTTTGAATATAGACTGTTAGCAACAAACTGATAGTTCTAAGAAAGTTTCTGAAGGAAGATTTATTTTTCATATAATTCAAGCCAGAATTTAGAAAACCTAAAATGTTAAATTTCCCAGAAACTTG
Source organism: Homo sapiens (assembly GCF_000001405.40). Taxonomy (NCBI): domain Eukaryota; kingdom Metazoa; phylum Chordata; class Mammalia; order Primates; family Hominidae; genus Homo; species Homo sapiens. Next base: position 91,380,328 of record NC_000013.11, read on the forward strand.
ATTTGAGTCCACAAAGGAAAACATAAGTTCGTACAGTATTATTAAAACTGCAAAAATCTCTTTAAATGTTAAAATTATTTGGTTTGCCTACAGGTATGTAAATTTCAAAATAAAGATTGCATACGTTTTCATGCCTTTCTCCTGGACAGGCTTGTGAACCCAGGCTACCTCTTCTTGCAAACCTTGTCTAATGCCATCATGTTTCATTTTGATGTTCTCTAAGCACAGCAACTGGGACATTTCTTTCAGATGTCACCACATCTATAAAGTTCATTTTCTTAGCAAAAAATAAGAGTAGTGTTTGGCAGTAGTTCATATCTGGACACTCTTGGAGAATTTCAGGTTTCTCTTTGGCCATAGCTACCACAGATAAGAATAATGGCCTGCCCTTCTTTGTAGGAAATTTCCCAGAAGTATGGTGACATTCTTGTTACACTTGTCAAATACCATGAAAGACAAACTGGATGAGGTGAAATCTATTGCAGGGACTCTGCCCTAAGGTTTAACATTTGAAGGTTTAGGTTTGCTAAGTTTGTTGTTTTCCCTCTATCTTTCAGCCCCTGGTAGAAAGCATGTATCTCCTTATTCTTCAGACAAAGCTACCTAAAAAATTTTCCACCAAGACAGTCAAGGGATTCTGCATCTCTCATGGGAGCCAAGAGGGCCCATTAGGCCTCAGGTGTCACATGGATTGGCTATGAGTCCTAAATGAAGCACCAGCTAGAATTTGGGGGAACTGATAACAGTCATAATTGTCATTAGCAACGCTACTGTATTAGAAAGGGCCTTGGAGAGCCATATCTCATAGACATGGATCCATTTTTTTAAATCATAAAAAAGTTCTCAAACTTATAAGTATTTATTTAAAAATATGCATAATCTGCTTTATTTCCTGTTATGTAAAATATCAAATGTTATTTTCTGATTTCTGCTAATTAAAATTTTCAAATAGCATAACTATATGTTACTCAATATTTGCTAGAAATTTTTTGATTTTTATATGGTTTTTAATGTACTTATCAGTATTCTTTTATCATGAAATATTTCCATCTATTTTCCAAACAGAACTTACTGAAATGCAAGCCAATATATTTTTTCCTCAATGGATAAATCACATTGCTTTAAAATATAAATAATACATATTGTCTACATGTTATTCAACATTTTTTCCTTCACAGAATTGTGTTTCTTACAGATATTTATTTCTTGTTCTGTGAGTCAATTAGCTGGGTATTGCCACTTTTGAACAGTTGGTGGCTCCAATGCTTTGCAACTGTCTTGCAAGTGTGATACCAAAAATAAGTAGCTCTCTTCTAACTCTTCATTGCAGAAGTTGATAATGACAAAATACATTTGAGTAAATATAGTGTATTTTATCAGAAATTAAAAGTTTTATCAGATATAAATTGAGAAGGAAAGTTTTAATACTAATGTATGCTTCAGACTAGGTAATATGAATACATATTACAACCCTCACTGTGTGCGCTTAAAAGATCTAAAGCGTTCCAATAGAAATATAATGTAAGCCACATACATAATTTTAAATTTTCTAGTAGCCACAGTAAAAAATAAACAGGAATGGGTGATTAATATTAATAATTTATTTAATACGATATGCCTCAAATATTATTTCAATGACATAATATAAAAATTACTGATGAGATGTTTTATATGCTTTTCTTTTGTTGGTCTTAAGTCTTCAACACCCAATGTGAATTTAATACTTATAGCATGTGTCCATTGGACTAGAAGTGCTCAATAGCTGCTGCAGCTAGTGGCTACAATACTGGCGAGCTCAGATCTAAAGTAGCAAGTGGCAACCCTTCTATTCACATTAGATGGATCCTATTAATATTTGATGGAGAGTAATTTTTATAAGTGAAATTCTGTAAAGAAACTCTTTTTGCACCAATTTTGGTTCTAAACTTGAAGTTCTTTTCCCATAAAAAATCATCCAGAAGGCTTGCTTCACAATTTTGATGACATAGGAATGAAACATGTGGCTTAGCTAGCAGCATATTAGTATTGCAGTATTAGCTTTTCAAGAGCTTTGCATTACTAAAGAATTCTTAGATCTCTGTAGAGCCATTTTTATCTTAATATTTTAGACATATCATACAATTTATCCTATGCTTGACTTCCATTTCTGGTTCTTTCCTTTCACATTTCCAGAATTTAACTTACCATATTCTTTTATTTATGAATTACGAAGTGTACTAGCATTAGTGATTACCCTTTACTGGCTGCTGTTATCATCTAGATTGTAAAGAACATGGCTTCTGGAATCAGACTACCTGGGTTTGAATCCTGGCTCCACCATTGACAAGCCGTGTGACCTTGGACCACTTACATACTTGTGCATTCTTTAACATCTAAAAAATGTAGAAAATATAATATTTGATTCCTGGGTTTTAGTGAAGATAAACCAAATGTATTAATGCCAAATATCTAGTACATGATAAACACAGTAAACACCAACCTGCACATGTGTAGATTCTGTAATAGGTACTATTGTCCTCCTATCAATTTTGTCATATTTAATAAAATAAAATGACTTGACACCAGGCCTTTATTTTTATTGCAGAGTGAGTAATTTCATTGAAAGTTGTTTCTTATTTACATAGTTAACTTAATAAAATGGAGTCTAGGTTGTCTTTCCTCAGAATAGAGGGTAGAATCTTCTGAATATTTCACTAAGAAAGTGCTGAAAAGCACAGGAACTAAGATGCATGGCTCTGAACAGCTTTCTGGAAAATGCTATTTTAGACCAAATACATGATTTCCTCTAAAGCTGTTCATTCGTTATTATATAGTATCTATTCTGTTGCTAAGAAAGGCAAAAAATGAACCATTTTATAGTGTAGCTGGTCTGTACATCTATACAACATATTTATCGGGTAATGGTTGTGATATGGTTGTGGTACTGGAATGTCAGAGAAAACGAAGCATTTAAAAAGTTTAAGCACAGCAAAGTAGTTTTGAGTCTTGGAGCATAATCTCCAGTTGCTGCTTAATCTCATCAAAATCGAACACTAGTTTTTGAAGCTAGTTAAGAATGTTTATTACTTTCTCAATTGTAAACCAGCTTTCACATTAAGAAAATTTAGAACATCTGGAAAAACAAGTAATCTGTACCATCTGCCAAACTCTAATTTAGGAACAATGATCTGGGAAGGAAAAAAATGAAAACCAATAAGTTGGTAACAATTCCAAAAACAACTACTAGAAGAATATGTGTGTAATCATCAGAATCTGGGATTTTCAACTGATAAGCCTTTACCCTCTGTGGCCACAGATGTTAGATATACTATGAACAGTAAAAATGTGGAATAAGTTAGGGACAAGAAACATATTATGAAGTATATCAGGTACACTAACTTAGGATAAAATTGTAAATATATACCATATTCATGTTTTAATTCTCCATTTCATTAAAATATTAATGAATAGATTATATATCTCTACATCCAACAATGTGGAGGCACCTGAGATCTTTTAACTTTCTTGTGATATATTTGCATCTCTTTTGTATTTAACCATCACGTTCTTTGAAGTGGCAGTTTTCATGTTGTAGCTCACAGAAGTCTTTGCAGAATGAATGGCCTATGAAGTTGAAGCTTGAATTAGGCTGAAGGTAGTGTAGTAAGAAAGAGAAAGTGTAAATGTCAGAAAACTTTGGGAGGGAGAATTGACGACGATGATTGACTACATATATTAAAAGAGAAATGAGTATCAGATATAGTGTGGTGAAAAGTGTGAAAACCAAGACATTTGGATAAGATCGTTTTTTTTAAATGATGACAGCATTGCTATTTGGAGAGTAAAAGTCTGATGGATTCAGCTGTTGAAGAGGCTTCTAGGGAAGTGAAGCAGGCAGGCAGGTAAAAATGAACATATTATAAGCAGAAAGAGCCAAGGCACTGTTTGAAAACATACTGTTATTTTTATTTTTATTTTTTTTTGTGAGCCCTAACTACGGGCTATGGACTCCCCACAATAGAACTTCATGGCTGTGAGGACAGAAAAATTTGGTGAATACATTGAAAGTTTGTTTGATCAATGTTTTCTGCTTGTAATTAAAATCTTATGGTAAGAAACAAAGTTTTAATTTTCAAAATAATTTATGTATAGATATTTTTACTGTGCAGGCACTACCACAGTTTTACCTTGAGTTTTACAGATTAACCAGAAAAAGAAATGAGAGTAAAAATGTTAAAGTGATTTTTCTTTGATGAAACTTTAACATATTAAATATAATATTTTATCCAAGGTCTTAATAATTGTTGTGAGAATCAGAAATATAAAATGAAAAGTTTCATGGCCCAAGTCGACTTTCTCCATATTTCAGTGAAAATTAACCAAAAATTTAAAAATAGTCTTCTCAGCTTTTCTTTAAGGGAGAGAGAAGTTGCGAAGAGAGAGAAGTGGTGGGGTGGGGGGGGCATGGGGGAGAGGAGGGGAGGGAGAGAGAGGGAAGGAAGAGAGAGAGGAAGGGAAAGGAGAGAGAGAGAAAGAGAGAGAGAGAGAGAGAGAGAGAGAGAGAGAGAGAGAGAGAGAGAGAGAGAGTATGTCTTTCCCTCTTCAATGATTCCTTGATGAGAGGAGTTCCAGTTTCCATTACGTGTTACTGGACCTTAAAACAAAACAACCATTTGTAAACTTTCTGATTGTCTGAGAACAAATAGTTGTATTCTAAACCAAACACATTCCCTCTTGTGCTAAATTCCTTGATGATACACAAATGAACTCTTCATTGATTCTGTATACAAGGACTTTAGCAGAGGTAATAAATCAAGACACATGAACTATAATAGCCAATAATGAGGTGATAAATGCCATACAAGAGAAGTGATATGAGAATTGAGGAGAGGATCATGGCTTTCATATAGGACAAGCTGGTTTAATGAACATAATTTGAGACATGTTTAGGGACTGGGAATAAAGGTCTAGGAACAAACGGCTTAGGCAAAGGCACAAAGATGAGAAGAAGACATGATTCAGTTTGGCTTGAATGAAGTTCATATAAAAGGGAACAGTGGAAAACAATTCTAAAGAGCTAGGTTTGGACTCAGTTCAAGAAGGACCTGCAATGGTAGGTTGAGTAATGGACAATGGTGTGTCATTGGGCAGAGTGAAAGTGGTTAGGGGCACAGGAAAATCTCCCCCTCCCTACCCGCCCCGCACCGGCTCTTAAAGAAGAGCTGAGAAGATTTTTTTTTAAATTTTCGTTAGTTTTCACTGAAATATGGAGAAAGTCAACTTCGTCCATGGAACTTTTTATTTTACATTTCTGATTCTCACAGATAAAATATTATATTTAATAATGTTAAAGTTTCATCAAGAAAAATCACTTAAACATTTTTACTCTCATTTATTTTTCTGGTTAATCTGTAAACCCAGATCTGTGTTCTAGATCTGATCTGGTTCTGACACTTGCCGGCTTTGTGATCTCAGGCAATTCATTTAACCTATTTGAGTCTTGATTTCTTTCATGTGTAACAGGGATTATAATTGTACCTACAAGCTGTAATGTGGATCAAATGAAAAAATGAGTGTTAAAACACTTACCACAGACTCTGGTATATATAGTAAGTGGTGAAACAAAATGCTATTACTAATAGATAGAATAAAATAGTCTTAACTTTTACATTATGCAAAATTGTCTTAATTCCTAAATTGCCCAAATCAGGAGGAAAATCCATCCCCATCATTCTCTTGCAGAGCTAAACTTATTTTCTATTGTATACCTGAGGTTGTCTGTCTTATTTTGATTTATATATAGTTTTGGGACTGTCTTTATATACTTGTAGAATATGAAGACTAAAAAATTAATTATATATGATATTTTAAAAATCTACCTAAATAAGTGAGAATAAGTGCCTTAATTCATTTTGAGCAATTAAATTTTTTCTGCTTATTCTTTTTCAAGAGCCCTTGTTTAAAATCAATAACTATCTCTCTTATTAAAGTTTGTAGAATTTCACAGCTGCAAGAGACATAACAGACCATTTAGCCCAGTCTCTCTAGGGAAACCGGAAGCTCTGAGAGCTTGGCGAATGGCTCAAGATTACAAAGTACTGAAAATGGAGGAAAATTTTGATTATATCCAAGGGTTGATAATTTTCCCTCCCCATCATTATTTTTTTTGAAGATTTTTTAGTCGTGGTAATAAAGTGCAAGGGACAATATTTTATTTTACTTATAGCACTGTCCAAATTAACATACAAACAGCACACAAATGTCAATAACACTTATCCTTTGGTCTCTTTGGCCCTTCTAGAATAATTGTTGATATGCACTATTTATATTTCCACCACTGGCTGTCTAGACTGACTTGGTTCTACCTCCTCTCTGTCACCTACCTCACTGACTCCTAGGAAGCCAAGTTGCTGGACGAGGGGGAAATGCTGAGGCTGAGTGAATAGGAGCAAGGGACATGAGCAGTGGAGGAAACCATAGGCAAGAAAGGCAGAGAGGGGAGTTCACATTGTTTAATAATCTGAAGGGCCTGGTGGGCTTCCACTTAACTACTACTGCCCACTGACTTCAGCTCCTGAAATCGAATTAAGGCATACTAATTAATTTGGATATAAGGGTTCATCTTTAACAGAAATATACTAATCTGCACAATGAGCAGTCATAAGCTCCCACTAAAATCTCTTGTGATGGGGAGGGAAGGCAAGTGCTAGCCTTCTTTTTAGTGCATTTTTCTTCCACTCATCTTTGTATATGCTGCCTTTTCTTCCTATAGTATTGGGAAAGGTGGATTTTTTAAAAGACAGTGTAGAATTTTATTTGCATAAAATGTCCATTTTCAGATTTTAACTGTAAATTTGGAAAATACTTGAAAGTATAAAAAAAGTGATAAACTGGAAATAACCAATTAGCATTTTTAGTATATTTTAATCACCCCTTTTTTCTATGCAGTTGATAGTGCAGCAGCTATTATACTTTATGTACACTTCTTTTTCTTTTCTATTTTTTTTTTTTTTTTTTTGAGATGGAGTGAGCTACATTGAGAAGTCCTCCCACCTCATCCTCCTGACTAACTGGGACTGTATATGTTTCTAATCTTAGTTTTCTCATCTGACAGCCCTCAAGTTTTTAGAAACTTCAAAATGTAATTTTTATTGACTACATTCCTTTCCATCATATTGATGATGTGGTATGTGGACTGTTTTTATAAGTGCTGTGAGTGAAAACATGAGTCTGGACTTTCCAAACCCTATGATTTTCAACACTTCCCCTTATATAAATGACTTATTGTAAGGAGATATATGTTCTTAATTTAAACATTTCTATTTAACTGCATTTTGAAATATCAAGAACACAGGTTAAGCAATCACACAAGAAACACAGCTTACTTCTCAGGCTTCATGCTTTGTGAAGGTGTTGCAGCCTTTCTTTGAGTATTCTGATTAGGACATCTGTAACCCTTTGTGGTCCGTATTTTTGTGCCTTTCTAGTTTTCAGAATTGTACCTTTTTTTGAGGGCAGGGACTATATTTGATCCAGCTCTGCAACCCTAATTCTGTGCTTGGAATAGAGCTTGGCATGTATATAAGTGCTTTGATGTTTCAATGTATCATTGAAGTGATTCAGGGCATACTGAGAGTTGATACAGAAGTCAGCGGGGTTTGCTCTGAATGAACGGTTTAGGTAATCCTTCTTGGATTCTGAGGAAACATTCACTATATTAAATGTGTGAGCAGAGGTGATATTGGGGAGAGCTAATATGATTGTTTTTCCATATTTTCTGCATGTAACATCTCCAAAGTGAGAATAAGGACAAGAGAATGCGAGGAATGTGTTTTGAATTCTGAAGTTTGTAATATATATTACACCTTTTTTCTTAGAGAGGAATATGCTAATTAGTGAAAGCCAAGGCAGTTTAAAAACATATGTTCCTTTGTAGACAAAGTTTCTTGCTAGGCTTGGTGGCTCATGCCTGTAATCCCAGCACTTTGGGAGCCTGAGGTGGGAACATTACTTGAGTTCAGTAGTTCAAGACCAGCCTGGGCAACATAGGGAGACCTCGTCTCTACCAAAAAAAAAAAAAAGTTATCTGGTGTAGTGGTGCAGGCCTGTAGTCCCAGTGACTTGGGAGGCTGAGGGAGAAGGATCACTTGAGCCTGGGAGGTGAAGGCTGCTGTGAGCTGAGATCATGCCACTGCACTCTAGCCTGAGTGACAGAGCAAGACTCTGTCTCAGAAAAAAAGAAAGTTTCTTAAAGTATCATTGTGTCTATTTACATTGATATGGATTTAAGAAAATAAAGCAGGCTGGTAGAATGTGTGTACTGTAGATATTTCTCTGCAGAATATTTAAGCTTTATTCTTCATAAAGAGCAATAGAGATCATTCTATGTTTGATTTCCATGATTAGTGTGCCATGGGCCAGGTAATCAATATTTTGATTTGCATAATACATAACAATGCTCAATAAATATCGGTCAGAGTGAATGCAGTGATTTATATTTAGAAGTGAATAATGAATCCAGATATGGTTTTAATTTTTAAATTGTACTTTTATCAACATAATTATTTCTTTAGCTTGTTCATCCAGTTTTGTTGTATTAACAATAATTCAGTGGCTATTAGACTAGTAGAAAATATAACTTTAATAGTTTAAGCCTGGTTATCTGCTCTCACATTCTTGAAGATCAAATATAAGACATGGTATCATTGTTACATTATCATCAGTCAACCTTCATAGTTGTACTCAAGTGGAATGAATAGGAGTATAAGTATTCATCCCCATTAGTGTACTTCCTAACAAAGTGGTCTACATCTGAGTGTCCTATATGCATTTGTGAGCTTTTCAAGATGCTGCCCCTGGCCTTTCTTTCAAGCACTAATTTAGAAAACATTTACTGAGTTCCTGTTATGCGCTAGATCCTGTGCAGAATCTGGAGCAGCTTAAGATTTTCTTAAGGAAACAAACCTGTAATGGCATGTTTACCTAAATAATGACATATAATTAATCAGTACATAGTAACTGGCACAATAACATGTGATAGGAACCCAGAGGTGGAAGAGAATAGTGTGGAGTTGCATGGCTGGAAAATTCCTTGTGATGAGTAAGCAACTTGAGTGGAGCTTTTAACGAAAGAGAGGTGGAGAGCAAGAAGGAAATATTCCAGGCTTAAGTGATGCTTCAAGTTGAAATGAGCAAGGCACATTTTAGGGAAGATAAGTGGTGGATTTTTCTGCCTCCAGAAGAAACAGAGTTTATGTAGGAAGAAGAGTGAATTTAAATAAAAGTAAAGGGAACTCAATACATTTAAATGTTGAGCTTTCATGAGAATTTTATGAGAATAGCCCAGATCCCAAACCAAGAATCTGATTTTGGATAAGACCCAGGAATCTGCATTCTAATACTCCAAGTGAATATGTTACTGGCATTCCCTGAACTATATTTGAAGAAATACAGAGGTAGATGCTAGACTCTGGTTTGCCACCAATATACATTACACTAATATATACATATGTATATAATATATAGTATATAATATATAGTATATAATAAACTAGAAATAACCAATTAGCACTTTTTAGTATATTTATAATATACTAAATATATTATGTAGCATATATATATTAATATAAAAGCCTGATGCAAATGGACTGACATGGGCCTAGGATGGAGAATGATTTAGACCAGAAAGACAGTGTAGGTGATGACCCCACTCTGGGGCTAGTGCAATCCACTGGTAATTTAAAGAGAAAGCTTGGGGACGTTGGAATGAAGAAGATGAATATGAGAGAAAAGTGGATGACTTGATAAGTCATGTAATTTATATTACGTAGAGGTAATAAAGGAGAAAGAATATGAACATTCTGGTTTAGCACGGATGATTTTATTAACAAAAAGAACAGACCTCAGGCTCTTGTGTTTGTCAATAAGTTTAACAATGGATAAGGGAGAGTGTGAACTGGGGAGAAGATAATAACATCCCTTTGTTAAAAATAGAGTTTGAGATGATGGTAGAATACCCAAATTAAAAAGCAGATGGGGTAGATAAGAGGCCAGACCTAGAGAGAAACGTCTCTGGATATTTAGCACAGATGCTAGAGGTGAAGGCGTAAGCCTTCAGTATTCATTTTCTAGGGCTGCCAAACCCACAAACTTGGGGGCTTAATACAGAATTGTATTCTTTCAAGTTTCCAGAAATATCCATAGGTCTGAAATCAAAATGTCAGCAGGGTTGGTTCCTCCTGGAGGCTCCGAGGGAAGAGCCATCTCATTCCTCTTTTTTAAAAATTTTATTTTAAGTTCTGGGATTACATGTGCATGATGTGCAGATTTGTTACACAGGCAAACGTGTGCCATGGTGGTTTACTGCACCTATCAACCCATCACCTAGTTATCCTCAGCAAACTAACAAAGGAAAGAAAACCAAATACCACATCAGGCTCATTCCTCTCTTAACGTCAGGTGGTTGACAGCAATCCTTGGCATTTTTTTGGGTTGCAGCTGAATCACTCTAATCTTTGCCTCCATCTCATATCTCCTCCTTCTCTGTCTGCGTCTCCTCTTATAAGGACACCAGTCATTGGATTTAAATCTTGGATGATTTCATCTTAAGATCCTTAATTAATAACACCTGCAAAGATCCCAGCTCCAAATAAAGTAACATTCTGATATTCAAAATGCATGGGTGGACATGAATTTTGAGGGGAAACTATTTAACCCAGGACACCTTCCTAGGAAGAATAACTAGAAAAGCAAGGCCTAGGGCATAAGTCTTGGGAAATTTGGAGGCAGGGGAAAGGTAGAAAATAGGCAAAAGAATAGACAAAGAAATGTTGGAGAGCTAGGAGAAGACTGAGGACGGTGAATTTTCAGGAAAGCTGAAGGGGACAGAAATTTTACGAGAGTGTTTAGCAATGTCAGACTCAGCAGATATATGAAAAAAGTTGGCCGTGTGGTTTCGGACTAATCTGATATACAGAGATCAGGAAAGTAGCTAGATCATTTGGAAATATTGGCAGGAAAAGGAAAGTGAGGAAAAACTAGGATGCTATATAGGAAACAGAGCCCAGATGAAATGATACATATTTTCCTAAGATAAGAAGGGCCTAAATACATTATCCAGAAGCAGAAAGATGGCAATGATGTACAGTCTCCTCTGGCATATCCAGAGAGAGTATTGTTCTCTCTTCTCTCAAAATTTGGATCAAGAAGAGAATTCAAAAGTGGTCAGAGCAAAGGGTTTCTCCTTTCTGCTTGATAGCATGAACTGCTTGTACCTTTTCATATGCAAATGTAAAGAATTAAGCCGAATATTAATTAAATTGGAAAGACAATTGTAAAGTAATATTACATCTAGGGAGAGTTAATAAGGGTGGTACATGGTCCTTATTTATAAATAGCAGAGATTAAACATGATAAAAGGGATTCTTACATGGAACAATTAAAGATCAATTATGACAATGGTACACAGCAGCGAAAGCCTCTGGAAAAACTTCCTACTCATTAATCAAAGATAATTATCAATTATAAGGCTTAATTATTAGGAGAGAGTCTACATTTTGCATCTTAAAAAGCTGATGATAATTAGTTTCCAGATCCTGCTCTAAGTGCTCATTATGTTCAGAGAAGAGTGACTCTTTTACCTTTAAAAATGACTTTTAGCTCATGACCTTGAGCAACTTAAAATCTCCTGTACCTACGTTGAGTTGAGATGATGCTCATTTGTTCCATTACTCAAAAAAATAGTTTGATAGGTGCATAACTGCTATACGACATGAAAGAACCATATTACAAATATGGGGAGGGCAAGAGGTTTTACTTTTGAATTGTTATTGAGTTTAGAGGAGAGGGCTTATTACCTTAAATACCTCTAGGATGTAACTAATAGAGCACAAATTAATGGCAGGTATTTTTTTCAAGTGGGGAAGAAGAATAATGTCTAGTTATTGAGTGGTCACATAATCCAAGAATTGTACAAAATACTTCACATATATTATCTCAGTTAACCCTATCAACATTATAACATAGATGTTGTGTTTTCCCCTCATTTTACATAGTAAGTAAAGGAAATATCAGAGTGGTTTTAACAACCACCAAAGTGACACAGATAATGAATACCCATTCTGGAGAATATTTGATAACTAGCATTAAAAGTAATTTTATCTGAAAATATTTAAGATAGTATAATGTCAAAGTTGCAGGAAATTAATTAGGAAAATAATTCTTTATCTCTTGATTGAATAATTCATTTAGTGGTAACATTAACATTTTAAAACATCTACCTCAAATTTTTAATCATAAAAAGTAATGACAAGAAGTGAAACAGACATTAAAGATTTACTGAAAGTCAAATCTAGAAGATGAAGTGATCACAAATAGCTTGAGAAATTACAACCTGGTTTTGAAGATGTTTATTGATACTATTCTATCAGATAGTGAATTTTCCACTTTGAAAGTAATATAATAATTTAGGGATTAAGTGAAGTTAAAAAGTGGACTGCTGCTTAAAAAAGAATCAAAGATTTTAATAAAGATAACATAGGACACATGAGATTATCAACCTTATAGCAGCCAAATTCATTCAATAAAGTTATGCAATGACTACAGAGGGTAGAAGTGGATATGCGCAGGCTCACTTGACCTCAGAAGGCTTATCATCTGGCAGATAAACTCTTGTGGCCCCTTAGTTCTCAGGTTAAACAGCCAGCAACATTAGGTATACAATCTTATAAAGGTTAGAGACTTTTTCCCTAGTTTAATTTCTGGAAAACATTCACCTAAGCAAGATTATGTATTTCATGTAGTTAACAACTGGATTTATTGGTTAATATAATTATTTTTCCTTAAGCTGTTGATATAATTAATGATACAATGAAATTCTGGATGTAAATTTCACTCTATTTGGAAACCAAAAATAGTTGGTGCAAAACCAACATTTGAAAGTGAGAGAAATGTGTAGTATATTCATTTCCATTATGTTGTAATTATACATACAATTTACACATGCAATGTATATTGCAACTTTGAGGGACACGGTTTTAACATTCTTACATTATAGACTAGAAGAAAATTATTTGAAGACATTTGGCTTCATAAAATCATTGAGTGTTGCTGGTTTCTTTTCCTAGTCTTCTTTCTAATACTGTAGATTCTCTTTTTGAAAGCAACTATTATTTTTATTTCTCCATAAGTTCTCTGAAAGAAATGAAATGTCTTTCATTAGAAATTGCAAATATAAAACATGTAAAATTAAAGATAGTACAAAATACTTTTGAAATTTTCACACAGTAACAGTATTTATTTAAGGCTTTTTGTGAAATAGTTAACATTGTCTTTGCCTTGAAGCACACTCACTATGAGATAATGACATAAGTACATCTAAAATATTTAAAAATCATTGATAAACATGTACTGATGATTATGAGGATTTTCAAACTGAAAATATAGATTAGTGGTATACAGACACACATGTGTGTGTATATATATACACATTAGTGGTATACTGACACGTGTGTGTGTGTGTGTGTGTGATTTTTGAAAATGTTTGCTGATCAAAGATTCCCACTGACTGTCATGTTAATTTCAGTTTGGTGTCTGGTTTTGAGTATTTTATGTAATATTTTATTTGCTGTGTAGTCTCTCCTTTAGGCAGCCTTGCCTTCTCCTCTCCTCTCCTCGCCTCGCCTTACCTCGCCTCACCTCTCCTCTCTTCTTTTTTCGTTTCTTTTGAGACAGGGTCTCACGCTGTTACCCAGGCTGGAATGCAGTGGTGCGAACATGGCTCACTGCAGCCTCAACCTGCTGGGCTCAAGTGATCCTCCTACTTTAGCCTCCCAAGCTGCTGGGGCTTACAGGCATGTGCCATTATGCCTGGCCATTTTTTTGGAATTTTTGTAGAGACAGAGTTTCCCTATGTTGCCCAGGCTGGTCTCAAACTCCTGGGCTCAAGTGATCCTCCTGCCTTAGCCTCCCAAAGTGCTGAGATTACGGGCGAGAGCTACTGTGCCCGGTGGTGATTTTTTTTTTTTTTAACAGAACCATTACTATCTTCACTAGAGGAGATTTCAGGGGAGTATCACTCAATTTTCTCCTGGTTACTTGGTGGCAGAAATTCATTACTGGGGCAGCTCGGGCTGACATCCAACTTGGTTCTCTTTATTGTGCAACCAACGGCTTAGAGCCTACATCGGAGGGAGAGAGAAGGTAGGGCAAGACAAAAGTCAGCACTTTTTTGGAAATAATGAAGTGGAAGTTATTTGTATTAAGGATATTCTTTCTCTGACAACCTCCTTTTCACCCAGTTGATGAAAGAGGGATCCCCCTTTGTAAATTATACGAGATGATCAAACACACAAGACTGGACAGATGAGATTTACAGCAGTTTGTTAGTCACACATACTCATAGCCCAGGGGAGGAGGCTACCACATGCCATGCAGGGCCATACAGGGGAGGAGGGGCTTCATTTGGGAGCAGAGTGAACCTGCAGGAGTTGTGGGAGGCAAGCTTTGTAGTAACAAGAAGATGGTGTGTTGTGGGGAGGACCCCTTGGTTCCCACAGGAGGATGTGATTATCTTGTTGGACTAATTGCTCTGAAGGGAGGTGAAAGCCATTAGGTTGAAGACAGGGTGGGATGGAGCTGGTCCAGCTAAGGGAGGTAGCCAGCAAGCAAGACTTTCCATCTGGGTGGGGGGCATATCTGGCCAGAGCAGGAGAACTCATGACTAGGGACCTGTGAGGCTCAAAGATGTCAAGGCAGTTCGTGGGATTTTAGTGCTTGCAAAACAGTTCTCCTAGTTAAAAGCTTAGTGGAGGTAGGAAGTAGGAGCAGGTAGTACCTTGGCCAGCCCCACGTCAGTGAGGTACTATCAGGCCATCGTTGAAGCCAATGCAGAGCTCTGGACCACTATAACCAAGGTGTTCAGCAGGTTGTCCACATGGATAGCTGTGAGTACCAGAGTTTATATTTATATGATAGGTTGAGTTCAAGGGGCCACAAACCAGGTGTCTGGCTTTTCAGGCAGGCGAGTGTAGTGACTAAAGGGGTACAAAAGTTATGAAGCCTGGCTTGCATTTGGGCTCTTATCAGGATTTCTGGAAGGTTATTTAATCTCTTTGTACTTCAGTTTTCTCAGTAGTATAATAGTAACTGTCTCATGGAATGGTTGAAATGTTAAATGAGATAATATCTGTAAGTGCTTAATAAATCTTAGCTCTTGTCATTGACTGGGTATAAAAGTTACCCAAATCAGCTTCTGAGGGTAAACTAATTAGTGGCCAGTCTTAGCCTAAAAGAATAGTCAGGGTTGAAGACTCTGTGATATCATTAAATCACCTAAACCACACTGGAGGTTTTCTTTCTTTCTTTTTTTTTGTGAGATGGAGTCTCACTCTGTCCCCCAGGCTGGAGTCCTGTGGCACGATCTGGGCTCACTGCAATCTCTGCCTCCTGGGTTCAAGCGATTCTCCTGCCTCAGCCTCTTGAGTAGCTGGGATTACAGGCATGGGCCACCACACCCACCTAATTTTCATATTTTTAGTAGAGATGGAGTTTCACCATGTTGGCCAGATGCTCTCGATCTCCTGACCTCGTGATCCACCCGCCTCAGCCTCCCAAAGTGCTGGGATTACAGGCGTGAACCACCGCACCCGGCCGAGGTTTTTTATTTCTCTTTACAAGGTCCTAAGTTGACAAACTATAAACATATAAACAGTTACATAGAAAGTATCAGGGAAGTTTTGGATTTAGAATATTACTAAGCTGTATTTTAAATAATGACCATTTAAGGATTCTCCTATCCAAGGGTATTGGTATTTTGAAAGCAAAGCGCAATGCCTATTATATAAAAGACATTCAATACATTTTTTAAATACATTTTGTAAAATAAGGCATTATAACTATCAAATTATGGACAGTTTTCCCTAGCTTCATTTGTAATGTTTACCAGTAAATTGAATAAAAGGCTAGTTATGGTATAATTTGCAGAGGTTGCTCTAGAATGTTCTTATAAAAGGGATCGTGGCATTGTGTTCTGGGTGGAACTAGAAAACTTGTCTTGAAGCTTGGTAGCTTCAGTAGCAGGCATACTGTTGCCTTGCGTGGTGGGCTTAGGGATGCTAATAGGACAAGATGCCCTTCCAGGCCACATGCTGGCTCATCCACTTTGCTAGCAGTTATGGATAAGAGGTAGAAGGAAAATATATTTATTTTTTGTTAATGGGGATATTTTATACAGACTAAATATATTCTTGTTAGTTCCTATGGCATTTCTATAAATGACCTCCCACCTGTTTTGTTAACTTATAAAATCACTGAGAAAACTTGCTTGTGTGTCTCTTTAAACTCCTGTTAAGCCTAGAATAGCGGTTAAAAAAATTGTATGTTTTCAACCAATATGTATTAGTCAATTAGCTTTTACTGAACCATCAATACTCAGTTGTGTTTATGATTTTTATCCTTGCAAGACACACCGTTTTAGAGATTCCAGTTAATGGGATAGATGGTAATTTAAGGATCTTTTTGATGCTAAGAGTCTAAGATGATCAAATCTATCAAGGAGAGATCTTGGTAACAATAAAGATGTTTTAGAAAAACTTGGGAATTTATTAGCCTTATATAGAGATACACATAATTCCAGTAGAATACAGTTATATAGATAGAAATTATGCATATTTACTAGTAAAAAATCTGCTAAATGAATAAACAGCCCTTGGTGTTGCTGCCCAAAGGCCTTTGGTGAAACCTGATGGGTTTTTCTGTACCACAGAATAGTCAAGGAGAGCCTCTGGAGAAGAGCATGCGGTCTGGATTTGGAAGCCTCAGTTTGATTTCTGGCTTTGTCACTTACCTTAGGCATTCAGTAAGTCACTTCACCTCTGTGTTCCTGTTTCCTCATCTGTAAAACAATGATAATAGTAGTAACTACTTTATAAGGTTGTTATAAAGATTACATGAGTGAATTCATTTCCATAAAATACTTAGAATATTATCTGGCCCATAAGCACTATATACATTCTCATGGTTTTTCTTGTTTCTTTTCATAGATATAGGTGGCTTCCAGACAATCTTTCCATACTTGGTGGTTAGAGCAGAAGAGATTCATGAAGAGCACTGCCCTTTGAAACAAAATCTCATATTCAGAAAACTGATGCCAAACACCAAGTAGCATGATTTCACTCTGAAGCAGTGTTTCAGCCATTGCCCTGGAATGGTTTTAAAGCAAGTGATATACTGCTGAAAGTGCTGCCTTTGATATTAAATGTTCATTAAAAATCTTCACTAAGACATAAAGTTTTTCACTACTATCTCTTGGTAAGGGTTCAAATTTGAGATGAAATTCCTTAAAGTGGTTAAAGCATTCATTGTCCCCTCTGCCTGATGCTTTTAACTAGTTTATTTTACAGAAGGAGTACTCTCTTCAAGTGGCTGTAGATTGAGACACTCTTACAGGCTTAGTTGTTGAGTCAACCACATTTAAAAAATGCACCTGCCCTTTGGTTTATGGTGCGTAATGCATTCCTCTCATAAACTGTAAATTGACAAAATTCCTTTGCCATTTTAAAATTGCTTAAAGTATTTATTTTTCTATATTCCTTGTAAGGAACTCCCCTGAGCACTCTTAACTTAATTGCTCTCTGAAAAATATTTTAAAGAAATTCCAGAAGTGGTAAAGCTCAGAGGAGCCCCACAAATACAAAGTGCTGAAGTAAAATATGATGCTAAATGGTGATAAGAGACTTAAAACTAGATTTCATTGTGATAAGAATGTGATAAAGTTTGATTGTAATTCTTATACCTCCTTTCAGAAAATCATGTTATAGAAAAATGTTCCTAAGCAGTAAAACAAAGCCATTTTAAAAAATAACTTCTCATGTGCACTCTTTAACAACCTAAGTGTTATGAAGTCTCTCAATTGAGATCTTTAACCGTAAATAGTTTTTGCCTTTTGTATTATGTCCAGATCCTATTTAATGCAATTAGAATACAAATTCCTATGTACTGAGGACCTTGATTACATAGATGAGATATTTCTTAGTTCCAGTTGGTGTTTCTCATCTCTTGTCTTCTCTGACCCTATTTATACATTCTCTGTTTTTATCAGATGATTCTTCCCCAGAACGGACTGGGAGAGCGAGGTCCGGGTTTCCTTCTATTTATTTGCATCGATGTCGCTCCGAGTCTTCAGCACTGGGCCGCGTATGACAGCATCTTAGTGGGTGCGGAGCGGGACAGCGCGCCGGGGGCGTGGCAGGGGCGTGGCCTGTCCGCGGGGCGGGGAGTGCGGGGCGGGGCTTCCGCGGAGCGCAGCGAGCGGGCACATCCCAGGTTAGCTGCTGCGAGCCGAGCCGGGCGGCGGAGGCGGCGGCGGCGGCGGCAGTGGCGGCAGTGGCGGCAGTGGCGGCAGCGGCAGCAGTTGCAGCAGTGGTGGCCAGAGCGGATGCTTGCGGGCTCCCTGCGGCTCCACTAGTTTTCTTCGCCCCGCCCAGCCGCCCACTCTTCTCGGCTAGGGAAGAAGACCAGAGGGTGCTCAGCTGGAAAACTCTGGTGTCTCAGCTTAGGGCCTCCTCCGGGAAGAGCTAACTGCTCCCAGGTGAAGCCGGTGCCCGCGGGCGGTCCGTACACCCCGCAGCCGGCTCGCACCGCTCGAGAGCCTCGGCCGCTGTGTCTTCCACGTCTGCAGCTCAGCCAGGGCGCGCAGGGCGAGTGGGGTCCACTGGCGGGTAAAGGGGACCAGGACGGCGAGGATGGACGCACAGACCTGGCCCGTGGGCTTTCGCTGCCTCCTCCTTCTGGCCCTGGTTGGGTCCGCCCGCAGCGAGGGCGTGCAGACCTGCGAAGAAGTTCGGAAACTTTTCCAGTGGCGGCTGCTGGGAGCTGTCAGGGGGCTGCCGGATTCGCCGCGGGCAGGTAAGGGGCAATGAGGGGGTCTCTGGACTGGCGGCGTCCGAGCCCGGCCTTCGCTCCCCCAGGCTCCCTTGGTGGCACTCGTGGGAAGATGACCTTTCGGGCCCTGCAGCCGCGCAGGGTGAATCCCGGGGAGGCTTCCGGGGATGCTTGGTGCGGGTAGCCTGAGTGCAGCGCAGCGCAGCTCTGGGGACCCCTAACCAAGCCTGCGACGAATCCCCGTTCTGGGCATCTGCTTCCCGCCCGGCTCCCTTCGTCTTGGAGGATGAGTTGGAAGGAACCAGGAAAGCAGACATCAGGGCGTGGGGGACACGCAGTCTAACTCCGTTTCTCTTCCGAGTAGGAATTTCCCCAGTGCCCCACCGGGGATTTCGGTTTACTGCTTTCTCATAAGGTGGAGGGAATTGAATTGATCGCCCCAAGTTTGGTACTAAAAATCACAAACCTGCGATATACCCCTTTGCTGGAGAATGGGGCACAGACAAGGGCAGCCGGTCTCCTCTGTAATTAGGACTTGGACCCTGTGCACCCAGAGACGTGACCCTTAGCTGCCCTTCTGTGCCCTCGTATCAAGCCCTGCTTGGAGGAAACCCAACCACCCAGTGTGTCTCCCAGCACCAAGGTAGTTTTTAGCCTGAAAAGTGTTAGGGCAACAGGCGATCAAACCGAACGTACTGGGGAGTCACTTGACATGGATGAGATGTACCAGCGTTCCAAAGGGAAAGATACAGTTTGTGTGGCCAGCGTGGATCTTGCTTCCTGTGAGCGCCTTTTGCCTGTGCTTTCGAACCCTGCTCCCCGTTTCCACCGCACCAATTTCCTTCTGCTGGTGGGAGTTCCAGTGTAGGTTCTGTCTGGAAGAATAGGTCATAGCTGTCAAACGCAATAGCAGGTGTCTAGAGCTAAGTAAGATCTCACTAGAGCCATGCACCCCTTTAGCTGTGACTATGAAGCCAACACAGACGAATCTGTGAGGTTACTGGTTGAACAAAGAACTTGTGGAGGACGCTTAAGTCTAAAGTCCCGAGTTTCCAGGGTTGGGGGACTTGCTTGTAGCAATGAGGAAGTGTGAGCTGTAGCCGCTTTTCTTGATTGCTTTGCTCAATTTTAAGTCATCCCAGAAAGAAAATCTAGGCATTCGGGAACACTGACTCCATTTGAGTTTACATGACCAGTCTTAAACCCAGCTATTTCTTTGTATACCTGTTTGGTACTAGGTGCTTTTTCTGTATTACTTGAAACAAAGTTGACATTCTCAGTTTAGGGCGATTCTTCTATCCCCAAATAAAATATCGCCTTATAGATCTGTATTTTTCTTAGTGCATTCTTTTCATTAGGAAATAAATCTCACTTTATTGGCTGCTGATAAAACTAAAGTGAGTTTGTGCGTGTGGGTGGTGAGGGTGTTATGATGTGAGATCTTTACCTGAATTATTAGATTTTTAGTCCCCAAATATGGTAACTTTGCCTGCTATGTTCACCGAATGTTGATGGCCAGCCCCTTCTCCCCAGTAAGGCCCTGATTTCACTCCACTCTGGTATCTCAGTATTTCTGGTATCTGCTGAATGCAACACATTGATTGGGTGTTCATCTCTTTTAAAGATGAACTTTCCAGAGTATCAGTCACTGAGACAGTGTCTTACCAGGATGTCAGGGAAAACTAAAGCTCTGTCCTAAGGAGAGGGAAATGACTGTAATTATTTGCATTTGATACACATGACACACAAAAAAGTTCCATGACGACAAGGAATCTTTCTTTTCTAAGTCACTCTGGATTGTTTCCCCATTGCTAGTAGATTTTTTAAATCTGTGGCTGAAGGTGATGGAGGAATCACGGGAGCACTCACAGAAGAGGCTTAGAGACATCAGTGGTACTGGTGAAAAGAAATGCTAAGTTCCTTTAATATTTTCACTAAGAAAAAGTCACACAAAAGTGCTATGCTGATTTAGATCCACCCCCCAAAAAAGGCATTCATATAGGAATTTGATATAATTCTGAAGTTTTGTGTCTGTATTGTTGGTCATTCTTTTACAAATAATTCAGCAAAATATTAAACTTTTTTAAACACTGATTCCTCTCATCTCTCTAAAAAAAAAAACCCCTCAATCCCAAATTGAGTAAACCAAACATACCACATGCTTAATAAATAATTTTCTTTCTTTTTGTATTTATATATGATCTACAACATTTAACATGATTGAATATGGTAATTGACTATCATATTTTCTAAGATTATCCTCAATCTCAAGAGAGAACATAATTTAGTCATTTCTCCATGAGAATACAAATAGTAATATCTTTTAACAAATCTATTCATTTAGCACATACCCTTTCACTGACTAAAACAAACACATTTAATTTGATTTTGTTTTTGGAAGTACGTATTTTTACTGCTTTCTTGCATTTCTTGTTCACAGTGGTTAATCCCTGAGATGTCTAGCCAAAACACAGTTTGTATAATATAAGCAGGTAGAATAAGTTTTTAGTTTCTTCCTACCTTTGTGACTTTTACTTTTTCTGATAAAAATGTTATCCAAATTGAAATTATTAAAATTGTGAGAGCAGTGATTTAAACTGTTTCTCAGATTCCCCTCACCTTTGTTCTCTACCCTGCTCCAATTCTTTTAAGCCTATTGAGCTCCTAAGGATGTTTGGATGAGAAATGTAAAAAAGGAGAGAAGGTGTAAATGTGATTAGAATTAGAGATTTCCCTGTGTTCCGATTTTATTTTCTAAGTAGTAGTCAAGGTGCCCTTTGCTCTTGTTTATTTTATTCAGAAAAGAACTGTTACTGAAAGTGTCTTTTAAAGGTCTTTTCATTTTTATTTTATTTATTGGGGATGGGGATAATGCTTTTCTATTAAAATTCTCTTTGCACATGCATTGTGCATTGTTCACACATGCAGTAGTTCCTCTTTTAGAGGGTAGTTCAGAAAGGGGAAGTTCATAAAAAATAATACATTTAGATAATTTATATACCAACTATTTTTTGAAATATGCATGTTTGTTGATATAGAAATCTATAGCAAGTATACTCTCGATATCAAGTAGTCTGTGAAAGTAACTTTTCCTTGGTAGATTTTGGCTATAAATAGAGTAATAAAAATAAACTCTTGACATGGCTAAGTGAAATTTTAATACTAAAAGACACTGTAAGCAGTGCTCTGAAGTTGTTGTTGTTTTTTAAACTGCTTTCATTATAATCAAATCTTATTATTGCTCCAAGGACAGTGTAGTTTCATTCTCACACCTAAGAAAAATGATCTGCTTGGTAACCTTGGAGTTTGGATTTACTGGATAGACATTTGGCTTTCAAAACTTGGTTCTACCACTTGTAGTTCTGCTTCATAGACAAATTATCATCTTGAACCTCTGTTTTCTCATTTAGAAATAGGAATATTCTTAAAAAGTGTTTGCATAGATAAAATGAAATAATGTAAAATGTCACAAATCCAGGCACATAGTAAGTGCTGAAAATATGTTCTTGTTGTCATTATAATTTTTTTGTTTACTGTCTTGATTTTAACTTGATTTTTAAGGATGACATTTTAATTTTAGATCTTTATATATCAAAGATGTTTTTACAATAATGAGTTGGTTTCAAGTCAGAAATGATTATTTTTAAATTTGGGAAATGTATTTTTATCTAAAGTGATATCCGTTACATTATGGTGAATATTTTGTTTATTTTTGTGAACTAATAAACCTCTATGAAACAAGGCTGCGCTGCTGCTAGCTGCAATGCCCATAACCACTGTCTCCACTGCCACACCACCGTTCTTCTGTCTGTAGGGAGGTAAAATAGTGCTTCTAAGGTGGTTTACAGATTCACACAATTAGAATGTTGGTGGCCATAGTCACTCATGGACAGTAATCTGAAATTGCGACTCTATTTCTCATGAAACCAATTTTGCTGTTTGAACAACGTGTTTGTGGGGATCAAATTTCCAAAGCCAGAATTGGGACCCGTCGTCTGACATTGGGGCAGATGATTAACATCAGGATTGCCCTGGGTCGAAGCCCACCAGCCAGGAACCACTGGAAACAAGATTGTAGTAAAATTAGATTCATTTTGTTTGTTGCAGCAAGGGAGATTGCACACCAAAGGGACTCTGGAGAGTTTGGTAGTAGGTAGTTGGGAGGGCTTTTTATAGGATTTGGGCTTGTGGTGGGCTATTATTATAAGGAAGGTTTAATGAAGTGGGGCAATTCAGGAATTGGCTATTTTGGTAACTTTTATCTAGGTGTTAGAAAGATTAAGGTGGGGTAGTTGTCATAAATAAAGAAGCAGTAGTAGCTAGTGCTGGTTAAAAGAGGGGAATGTTTAGTTATTTTTGTGGTTGCAGAGTGCCTTTGTCCTCATCCTTTTATACCACAGGTCCCAAGTGGTCTTGCCTCATCATTGTTTTCTAATTCTGTGCATGTTATTTATCTTGAATTGTGAGCATCAAGGCCCAGTTCCACTTCCAGGACAGTTTGTCACCTTTTCCCTTGGGAAGTCCAGTCTGTGCTTTGATGTCTAAGAGAATCACGTGTTTCATTTTTCTCTAGGCCTTTAGTGCATCTTAATGGTGGAGAAGTGAGTTTGATTTTCTACTTTAGGGTCATAGAATCCAATGGCTCATCAGGTGCTGAACTATACTGATCACACATATTCCCTCATGGGGTTAATTATAACTATTGCTGTCAACTATAAATCTAGTGCATCAACTACAAATATTATATATGTCCCCATTCTCTCTCCATCCCATAATTTAAGTTCCATTTTGCCGAGTGTCCAACATCCTATAGTTGTAAAATTGGCTTAGGAGGGGTACAACTTGAGGAATTTAAGAATAATATTTTCCACTTATCACCCCCCAATCCCTATTATTTTTCCTTGTTTCCAGCCTGTTAAGGCTTTCCGGAAGATGGGTATTTTTGGTGTGTACATGTATGTGTGTGTGTATAATCCACTTTCACATTGTCCTTATATTTGATAAGAACACTTTCTAAATCTACCACATTTCTTTTATAGTTACCTGGTAAGACCAAGAACAACATTCTAGCTAGGTGCCTCAACTAAACAGACATAATTTATAGATGAATGGTCTCTTGGTATAACTGTTCAACCGACAAACAACAGATCTGATTTGTTAAAATGGAGTCATGAGAGACTTGAAACATATGTCTGTTGAAATATATTCTCTGTGAATGTGGTATCTGATCTACTTGGTTAAGTAACAATAGCAATTAATTTTAATAGATAATAGCCATTTTCCATATCTACCTTTCTTTTATAAAGTCC